>NC_000011.10:41272121-41575151 GCF_000001405.40 Homo sapiens
ATGGGAAGTAGACTGAGGATAAAAATGCCCTACTTTTTTAGTCAAACCCCTTTCAGGTGTTTTCAAATGGAATAATAGTTTACATTGTCTTTGTGGCGATGCTGTGGATGTCTGTGAAGTTGGGGTGGGGGAAGTGCTGGGATGCAGAAGGATCCAGCCAGTTTGCTCAAAATAACTGGGGTGGGTGTTTGCTTTTCACTTGGGTAAATTTAATTAGCATTGTGGGTGTCTAAGAACTGTTGCAGATCTCCTCTGGCTGCTACACAAAATCATCCTGGACTATGTTTAGCATTTCTGGAAACACGCCTCTGATCCCCATCAAACTTGCAGTGAAATAGGGACTCAGGTGCCTCAGTCAGGAGAATTTGAACCACTACAGAGAAGAAAGTTATATTTAAGATGAATTGAATGAAGTATTTCAATTACAATATACTTGAGAAACCTTTTCAAACCATGCTAGCTCTTATGGTTTGTTGATTAAACACATATATTATTCATAGCACGTATTAAAAAAACTGCTTAATACCGAAGCGATGTTTTAAAAGAATTAAAATGAAGCTTGTCGCTTGAGAAAATAAATGCTTTCTCCAGTCCTTATCTTTCAAAAAAGAAGGTATGCTTATTTCCCCTTCTTACTTAGCTGACTTTTGTACATTTATGCCAACCTTAATCAGAAATGTTAACAATTTTCAGGATATTTGTTTTCTATATCATTATTTAAAGATCAGAAACATTACATTGATGATTTAATTCTCAAGAATATCTGTGACCAGCTGCATGAAGCAATTAAGAGTCACAGCCTGGCCAGTTCTAAATCTGAACTTAATGCTTAGTTCATGCATGCATGCATAAATTCAACAAATATTTAATATGACCTCCTATGAATCAGTTACTGGTTAAGAAAATGTTTGGTGTCATATAGCTCATATTCTAGTGAAGAAAACAGATAATACGTATATAAATAGCTAGAAAATGCAATGCCAGACAGTAGTTAATGCTATAAGGAAAAGGTAAAGTATAACAAATGTTAGTGAGGATGTGGAGAAATTGAATCCCTTATACACTACTGATGGGAATGTAGAATCTGCAGCTACTATAGAAAAGAGTATAGAGGTTTCATAGAACTACCGCATGATCCAGCATCCCACTTCCGGTTATGTATCCAAGAGAATTGAAATCAGGATTTCAGACCATTCACAATAGTCAACATATGAAAGCAACCTAAATGACTCTTGATGGATGAATTGATACATAATAAAATATGTGGATACAATGGCATATTATTCAGCCTTAAAAAATAAAAAAGTCTAACCATTTGCATCAACATGGAAGAACCTAGAGGGCGTTATGCTAAATGAAATAAGCCATTCACAAAAGGATAAATACTGTACAATTCCACTTACGTGACAGATTTAAAATGGTCAAACTCATAGAAGCAAAGAAAAGAATGGTAATTTCCAGAGGCTAAAGGAAGGGGAAAATGGAGAATTATTGCTCAGTGAATATTCATTTTCAGTTACGCAAGACAAATTCCAGAGATCTGCTGTACATAGTGCCTACAGTTCGCAATATGGTATTGTGCACTTTAAAATATGTTAAGAGGTAGAAATCATGTTAACCATTTTTACCACAAAACAAAACAAAACATAAGGAAATTTTTGGATGTGATGGATATGTTCAGTACCTTAATTATGGTGATGGCATCACAGGTGTGAGAATATGTCCAAACTCATCAAAATATATACATTAAATATGTGCATTTTCTGTAAATCATTTATATCCACACAAAACTTTAAATAGAAAAAGTAAAGCAGTTAAGGAGAAACGGAGTGATGTTAAGGTGACAATAAATGTTTGAACAGAGATCTGGAAAAGTGAGGAAGCAAGGCCTGTAGGAATTTGGGTTCCAGGGAGGAGATAGAGACAGCAATTGAAAATAGAAATCTCCTGACATGGAGGCATGCATGGCATGTCAGGAAATAGCAGGGAGGCTGGGGTGGCTGGAGATAAGTAAGTGAGAGGCAGAAAAGAGAGAAGAGAGAGTGGAGAAGCAGCCAGGCTTAGAACATATAGGGCTTGGGAGGGCAGAGGAGGCACTTCGAGTTTCATTTCACGTAGAAGGAAACCCAACAGATGGTTCTGAATAGTGGAGTGACATGAACTGACTAACCTTTTAGAAGGACATCTACAGCTTCAGTGTTGAGAATAAACTCAACGGGATCAAGGGCCAAAGATCATAATCAGAAAAGTCACTACTATGGTTCAATGACAGTGTCTTGAACAAGGGTGGGAGCAGCAATGATGGTGGCGAGAAGCAGTCAGTTTGGAAAGGAATTGCTAATGGACCAGATGTGGAGTGATATTGAGAAGTGAAGCCAGCTGGACTTCCTCGGTTGAGTGACATTGAGAGGTGAAGCCAACTGGACTTCCTGGATGGAGTAGGTCAAGCTAGCTAGAGGTTTGTAAAATGGACCAATCAGCACTCTGTAAAATGGACCAATCAGCAGGACATGGGTGGGGACAAATACGGGAATAAAAGCTGGCCACCCCAGCCAGCAGTGGCAACCTGCTTGGGTCCCCTTCCATATTGTGGAAGCTTTGTTCTTTCACTCTTCACAATAAATCTTGCTGCTGCTCACTCTTTGGGTCCATTCCACCTTTAAGAGCTGTAACAGTCACTGCGAAGGTCTGTGGCTTCATTCTTGAATCAGCGAGACCACGAACCCACCGGAAGGAACAAACTCCGGACACAATATGGTTTGGATGTTTGTCCCTCTAAATCTCATGTGGAAATGTGATTCCCAGTGTTGGAGGTGGGCCCTACTGGGAGATGTATGGGTCATGGGGGTGGATCCCTCATGAATGGATTAGTGCTGTTCTTAAGATAATGAGTGAGTTCTCACTTTCTGGGTTCATGTGAGATAGGGTTGTTTAAAGAGCCTGGCACCTCCTCTCTCCCTATCTTGCTCCCTCTCGCCATGAGATAGGCCAGCTTACCCTTGGCCTTCCACCTTGATTGTAAGCTTCGTGAGGCCTTACAAGAAGCCGAGCAGGCACTGGTGCCATGCCTGTGAAGCCTACAGAACTTGAGCCAGATAAACGTCTTTTACTTATGAATTACCCAGTCTCAAGTATTTCTTCATAGTAATGCAAAATGGACTACCACATGGAGAAGAAAAGAATGAGAGAAAACGAAGATGATGCCCAGATTTTTGGTCTGAATAATGGGGTGAAATATAGTACCATTTACCTAAATGGAACTTTTTGCAACTCTATTCAAACAAAAAGCAAAAAATAAAGATTATTCAGTAAATGATTTCTATCATTATTGTCCTTTCAAACACAGAAGCAGAAGAGTGGGACATATTTTCTTTTTGTTGTTGTTGTTTAAATTAATTACCCTGCCTTGCTCAGAATTGTTTTAAGGCAGCTCACTGGGAGTATAAAATATGTCAAGATAGCATAAATTAGAAATGGAACAAAAATGGCCTTTGGCCCTACAGTTCCAATGTTAGAAATTTATCCCAAGGGGAGACATAATGTATTGTGTGAGCATAATAGAAGGATGCTCACTGCTACACTGTTTGTTATGGTAGAGAATTGGGAATGACATAGTCAAATTAGTCATTATACATTATTGAAATCACTACTATCAAATCAGAAATACTAACATTACATTAAATTGATAGAAACAGATGTTCATTATATATCATGAAGAGGAAAAAATGCAGGTTATCAAAGAGCAAGTAAAGCATGATTTTCTCTATACAAACGTATACACATGCATAGAATAAAATCTATAAACTCACATGCTGAATTACTAAAGGTAATTATTCCTGGCTTGGGATATGACTGAATAACTTTTATGAAAATGTTTGTACACGTTGACAAGATGTTATTTTTAAAGTGGGGAGGTGAAAGAATAAAGAAAAAGTATGTGCAAAGAGAAGCTGTAAGCCTAAAATTATAAACCAACATAACATTCTATCCACCTGCTACACGTGGTACTTAAATTTAGCTCTAACAAAGATAGCAGCTAAGACTAAAAGACCTAATTACAAAATTCACCATGTCCAAAAATAAAAATATTGTCTGTATAAGAAGTGTGAGTCTTGACATTCTCAGGTGACCTGGAACATTCTTATCTCTACAGATGTCCTTGAGTTATTTCTCCCTGGTCACCATCCACACAGGACAGCCAGCCTGTGTTTTAGCTCCTTGAACATGCCCATCCTGTTTTTACCAGAAGTTGCTAGCATAAGCCCTTGTCTCAAACACTACTTCTTATGCTATTCAACTGAAAACTCTTAACTTTTAAGTCAGTTTAAACTTCACTTTATCACAAAAGCATTACTTGATTCCCCAATAATAAATGATTGACCTATAATTCCTTCTTGGCACATATCATTTAATTATGTAACTATCTGTATGATAGCTTTTGAAATCATTCTCTTCTTTGTTAGATAGTACGTAGGCAAAATAACACCCCTTTCTTCCAAAATATATCCATATCCTGCTCCCTGGAAGCTGTGAATGTTATTTTACATAGCAAAAGAGATTTTGCAGATATGATTAAATTAAGGGTTTTGAGTTACAAGATTATCCTGGATTGTTCAAGTACACCCAATGTAATCACAAGGATCCTTACAGGGGAAAGAGAGAGGCAGGAGAGGGAGAGAAAAGATATGTAAAGCTACAAGCTAAGAAACGCAGGCAGCCACTGGAAGCTAGAAAAGGCAAGTGAATAGATTATCCCTTTAGAGACTCCAGGAGGAACACAACCTTACTGACATCCTAGTTATAGCCAAGTGAAATCCATTTGAGATTTCTGAATTCTATAAATGTAAGATAGTATTTTTTTAAGCCACTAAGTTTGCGGTAGCTCTTTATAGCAGTAACAAGAAACTATCACAGATGTTAAGAATCATGAGAGTAGCAACCTTATTCATTTTGTTCACCACTGTATCCACAGCATCTTACAAAAGGCTTTGACACATTGTAGGAAAGTTATAAATATTTGTTGAATGGGTGGATGTTTAAATAAATTAGGCAGCATTTATTCCTCAAAATATTTCCCCAATTTAAAAATAACATGAATGCTAACATGGCAAATAACAAAGCATGTAAAAAACCCATTGCTTTATGCAGTCTTTAACTCATTCAGGTGAATTTTCCATGCATTATTGATCTTCTGATAAACTGAATATTATTTGCCATTACACTCAATTTTTAAATCACCCCAAATCTCACAGACAACTTTTAGAAGAAGTATCTAAGTATATTATTTCTTTTTAAAGTTCTTCTAGAACTTCTAGAAATAATGAACTATTGGAAAATGTATTTCCATACTGATTGTCAGAAGTAAGGATATGAGATTACTCATCCCTGTATTTTGTCATTCCCATCCTGTACCAGTAATCTTTGCTTTGCTTTGATGTACTTACCAGGTCAGTTCACAGACAGACAGCATAAAGTGAGGTCTGTAGTACAAGCCCAAATGCTGACAACTGAGCTAAGACTTCAGGGGAAAAACAAATATCCGCAGGTGACAATTGAGCACCTGCAAATTTATCTATAATGTTACACATTCTGCCTGAAATTATGTTAGTCGTTTTCAGAGAACTAGAAATTTGACTAACATTGTCTCCTTTCATTGATTTTTTTCAAGTTCCGTGAGTAACTTGAATATTCTACCAGCTACTTGAAATGTTCCCAGCAGTACATTAGTTCTCAAACATAAGCACACGTTAGAATCACCTGGCATTTTGGTTGCACCTGGAGGACATTATGTTAAATGACTTAAGTCAGGCGCAGAAAGACAAATAACGCGTGATCCCATTGATGTGTGGAATCTAAAATAGTTGATCTCATAGCAGTAGAGAGTACAATGGTGGTTACCAGAAGCTGGGGTGATTATGGAAGAGAAAGGCTGGGAGATGTTGGTCACAGGATGCATAATTACAGTTAGATAGGAGTAAGTTCAAGAGATCTATTTCATGCCATGGTTATTATAGTTAATTACCATAAATTGTTTTCTTCAAATATGTGAAGAAAGTGTATATTAAGTGTTCTCACCACAAGATCTATAATTATGTGATATAATGCATTTGTCAATTAGTTAGATTTAACCATTCCACAACATGTATACAGTACATCACTTAACATCATTCATAGGATCTTGGAAACTTTGACTTTAAGTGAAACAAACTATAACCAACCATATTTTTACCCATCAACATTATCACAAAATAACCAAGGACATAGTATGCATCATTTTGCTTAAAGTTGAAGTTTCCAAGAATCTATCGATGACATTAAGTGAGGACTTACTGTATACTTCAAAACGTTATGTTGTACACAATAAATACATACAAATTCATGTCAATTTAAATCGATAAATAAATTTGAAAAAATGTTCTAATGTTTGCAACAACAAAAAAGCATCACATGGAGGGCTTGTTAAGACAGATTGCTGGGCCTCGCCCCCTGTGTTTCTGATTCAGTGGGTTTCACGTAGATCTCGGACTTTGCATTTCCATTAAATTCCTGGGTGATGCTGCTGCTGGTCCTGGAATCACTGCTGAAGTGGAGGCTCCTGGTGCCCCACCCAGATTCTCTTACCAACAGTTGTGAGTTGTAGCAGATAGCAATTATAGCAATTCATTGCTGCTTTTCCTGTTTTTCTGTTTTATTTTGTTTTGTGTTTTTTTCCCCCAACTTTTAAGTTGAGAAGTACATGTGAAAGTTTTGTTGCATGGGTAAATTACATGTGACTGACTTTTGGTGTACTAATCATCCCATCACCTAGGTAGCATAGTTAGTACCCAACAGGTAGTTTTTCAACCCTTGTCCCCTCTCCCATCCTCCCTGTTCTAGTCATCCCCAGTATCTACTGTTCCCATCTTTATGTTCATATGTATAAGTGAAAACATGTGGCATTTGGTTTTCTGTTCCTGAATTAATTCACTTAGGATAATGGCTTCTAGCTGCATCCATGCTACTGTGAAGTACAAGATTTTGTTCTTTTATGTGGCTGTGTCATATTCCATGATATATATGCACCACATTTTCTTTATTCAGTCTGCCATTGATGGGCATCTAGGTTGATTCCATGTGTTTGCTATAGTGACTAGTGCTGTGATGAACATATGAGTGTTTTGTGTTTTGAAAGGCTTCCATGACCGAAGGAAGCCTGCTTTCTGAGAGGCTACAAGAATACCACTCATCTCTCATTCCATCCCATCACATACACACACACAAACACACACACACACACACACACACACACACACACACACACACACACACCGTGGCAATCACTGCCTGCAATGGGTACAAGAAGGCAGCTTCTTTGCCTCCAACTTTTGGTGCAATTCCAGCTCCATAGTTACCCATCCCTAGGTCATCCCTAATGCTAGACTCTGGCTGAGTTCACTCTCCTGTTTAATTCCTTATCCCCTGTCCCAATCTACTTCCCTCACTCCCTTCTCCCTGAGACTATGTCCTTAGTAAATCAGTGGAACCAGAATTCTTATCTCTGCCTCTAATCCAGGGAAGCAGACCTAGGTCATTTCCTTTTTGGCCAGAAGGAAATTTGACTCCATGCATTGATGTCCAACTGGCACCTTGGATAACATCAGAATTGGAAAATATCTTTAATTACTAATGCAGAATGAGTACCATATCCCTGCAGAACACTGGGTCCTTGATCTATAAAATGTGGCTGGCCACATTTATTATTATTATTATATTATTATACACTATTATATTATTGAATTATATCATTATATCAAATATGAACTGAAACATTATTTCCTTAGAGAAGGCTCATTATTTTCCTGATCTCTCAGTTCAAGGTTGGTTCCTCTGTTTAATGGTGTCGTAATTCCTGATACCTAAATAGAATGGGTTTTAGTGAATATTTTATAGTATGTTTTAATTTAATATATATCTCCCCATCAGACTGTAAGCTCTGGAAAAGCAAGAATTGTCTTTACTTCAATGCCTAGTATGTTGGTTACTGTAAAGTATGAACATAATGCTTATTTGTTGAAGGAATAAATGCCTAAAGAAACAACAGTTTCTGAGAGCGTTGGAGACTTCAGAATTCTCACCACGAAAGTCAGGCTTCATCTGTTGCATGTGGCAAAGATGCACAGGATGGATGAATGTGAAGTGGACCCTTAGCTGCAGACTACATAGAAGAGTTTCCTAGATGGGTCAAGTAGTCCAAACCAAGGAGGGAAACAGGAAGTTTTGGAACTGGGGATCTATTCACCAAGAAGGCTAATTTGTGACCCCATGCTCATGCTTTGTATTTTTATTTCAAAGTAAAAGCCTGGCATTAATAATATAGTCACTTTATAACAGAGGCTGTGCTCAACTCATTCTGTGCCCTGTGCCTGATGAAATAACATTGCATTCACCATTGTGTTTATGATATAGGCATGCAGATATCATTATAGACAAATTTACCTTACATTATGCTATACGATGCAGGTTTTAAACGGTTCCACACTTGTCAGATAATCAAAGACTAAGATAAAAGTATGCATATTATTGTTCTCTCCATGTCCTTCTAGTATAGAAATGTCAAATTGCAATAGTACCACAATAAATCTTGACACTTGTCTCCTATAAAATCTATTTTGAACTTGAGCATGAGAAAAATGAAAAGGCAGGGAAATCTAATGAATAATTGTTGAAAGGCTAGCTAAGTAAAGAAAATGCAAACCAAAGACATTAAAAATCAATTTAGAAGCAAATAGCATTTTGTCAGACTTAAGAATTATTAATTAGGGGTCTGAGGTACACTCTCGTCACCAAGATAACAGAAAACAAGGCATGCAGAAAATAATTAACAATTAGCCTAGTATTTTTTTCCATCTTATTTTAAGATAATCTCACTTAAATACATATTTTCTCTCTCTCTCTCTCTCTCTCTCTCTCTCTCTGTCCTCTCTCTCTCTCTCTCTCTCTCTCTCACACACACACACACACACACACACACACAGAGGAACATTCTTCCTGGGAATAAATCAAAGCACCCCCAGTAGTGCTAAAATCTAAAGTGCTATGCTGGAGAGCATTAAGGAATTTACTGAAATGGATGTGGACTGCCTCCTTCTCTGAGTCATCAGGTTTTAAATAGAAATGAGATAGTAAATTTCTGCCCGCATCACACTCTGTGTCTTCTCTGATTCACTATTCTCATTCATCTTGCTGCTTTCTAATTTGTAAAGATGCAGGCAACGTATAAATATTCATGGCAGCTCTGGAAATAGACTACATAGCGCTCAGTCTTCCGTTAGAAATGGGCAGAACATCAAATAGGGCTGGAGATGAGTCTCAAAAATGATACACTTGGCTTGTCACTGGACGAGAAAAAAGAATGGCATGATTATGTCAGAGAAGAATTTCACAGCTGAATCTGTGAGGCTTCCTGACTATGGCTTAAGCCAGCGGTTCTCCAACCTGCTACACATCAGAGTCATGTGGGAGAGGATTTAAAATTAACAATGCCTAAGGTTCATGCCCAAAGATTCTGATTTAATCTATTTTGGATACAATCGGGGAACTGATAGTTTACTAGATTTTTCAGGTGATTCTCATATGCAACCTAGGTCAAGAGCTACTTGTTCAATATTGGCAAGGTACATTAAGCCACTCCAACAATCTTTAGTTTGTGGAGTTTAGTGGAGGTTGGTTTGTAGCAGTCATGCTCAGGCTATAAATACTACCCCAAATGCAATAAATATGAAATAAATGTTATAATAGAAATAGTCCTATGGTACCATGGAGCACAAAAATGGGACAAGATCATTAGTTCATTTTATCTCAGAAATGTGAAGGGGGATCTCAAAAGTCTTCTTAGAGGCCTTGGTGGATGTGTGATGTGTGGGGTGGATGGAAGAGAGGTAGAAAGGTCACACAAAAGAAAATTTCCAGCCATGAATATATTGTGTTCTAAAATATGTGTGGACCTGAAAGAGTAGAGCGATTGTGAAATGTAAGGGGATTGACAAAGCTGGAGAACGGGGGATGCCCCTCTCTTTTCCCTGGCAATTTTGTAAATTGTACTATCTAGCCGCTGGACTGAGATTTTAAGTGTGCTATGAAAAGTGGAAAACCAGAGTTATTTTGAGGTGCAAGTGAAATTAAGTTTCCATCTGCAATCATATGGTTATAAAGAGTGAAGGCAGGCGATTGAGAGGATATCAACATTAAATTTACCACCAAGGAATCAGAAGCAGTAGAAGTAAACCTCTGCTGAGCTTAAAATACCCTCTTCAAATATTAGGAATGTAGTTTTGATTTAAAGTTTCTTGTCACTTCATTATGATGCCTGCACTAACCAATTCCAATGGGAGAAGTCCCAGAATCTGGACTGCTACCAACTAGAACATCCTCATTACTTCAAAAGTCTGAATCTTTACGTGAAGACAGTCCTCCTCCTAACAGGCATATGGAAACTAACTTTGGGATGTCTGCCCGGGGTGTGGATCGGTTTGCGTAGGATGAGCCATACTTGATTGCTGGTTTCTGCTTGCATTTAGCAGCAGTAACCAAGAAGCTAAGGGAATGCATTTTTAGGGCATGATACTGAGCAAATATATGTGGCCTTTAGGAAGGGATGCAGCTGCAGATGTGGGCATCTGAATCCGAGGCCTCCATAGGAGCCAACCACGCAGAAACAGCTCAGCCCACCACTGTGCAGCTGGGCAGCCCTCAGCCTGTCTTTTCATTTTAACTGGGTTTTAAAAGCAATACCCAAGGAAACTGGTATTCTTTTATCAAAACAGGCTCTAAGAAAAATCACACCAGAGCCAACAGGGGAGAAAAAAATGTTTGACATGAATAAAATTAGAAAGCACTCTATCAAATGTAATGTTTTTAATTTTTTTCTCACTCTTCAATGGTTTATCATCTTTAGCTACAATAATGATATAGCACTTTGGGAGGACAATTAGAAATTTTAGAAATTTTCCTAAATAAATTTTTATTAGTTCAGTATCTGCTCAATAACAGCAATCACAAAATATCATTACAGCAATGATATGCAGTTGTTTTCCAATAAAATTCATTGATCATGCCATTTGAGCAGATGGTCTGGAAATATCCGCTTAGAAAATATTATTTTAAAAAGTAAAAGATTCATGTACGAAAATATTCATCATAACATCATTTATATTAGGTAAATTTTCATTTGAGTCAACCCTTTTGTATTTGAAACGACCTAAATATCTAACCACAGGGGATGTTACTAGGTGGTGAATAATGCATGGATTAGTCTAATAAAGGAACCACACGCTATTATTGTCTGCAGCCTGTTTTTGAAAGGGCCCCTGATGTTAAGAATAGTATTTTCACTTTTGAGTGGTTGAAAAAACAAATTAAAAATACTATTCTATTCTGACCTGTGAAAATTGTATCAGATTAAAATTTCAGTGTCCATAAATGTTTTATTAGAGCATAGAATTGCTCACTCATGTACCTATTATAATTGTTTACATCTTGTCAATAGCCACTGTGCTACAGTTACAGAGTGCAGTAGTTGTGCCAGAGACCATAAGACCCACAAAGTCTCAACTATTTACCATCTAGCCCTTTACGGAAGAGGTTTGCTGATCCCTGCTCTAGTAACAAGAGCAGAAAGTATACATTCCGGAACTAGGCTGACTAGTACTGGGTGCCAACATTGGCATTTATTATACATGTGACACTAGAAAATACATTTATCTTCTCTGTGTTTCAATTTCCTCAATGGTAAAATACAGGTAATAATAGTACCTATCTTTTAGGGTTTTTGTAATCATTGCATTGTAATTCATGACATGCTTACAGCACTGCTCTGTATGGAGTAACCCCAGTGAAAGTTATACGTATTTGATTTGTACTGACATAAAAACTCAAATGTTAGATAAAACACTAGATAAAATTGTACCTATACTATGAATACAACTGTTAATAATATAACTTTCACATAAAAACTGTCTGGCAGAAAATATGCCAAAATATTAACAATGATTACGTTTCATTGAGAAATTTTAATTTTCTTTTCTGTTGTTCCCAAGTTTACTATACTTACTGAATTACCTATATATTGCTAAAACAATCACGAATATAAAAAAGATAGAGACTGCTATAACTATGGAAACACTTCTGTGAAAGTGCGTTTTACATAGAAAATGAGCACACAAATGTAAGTAATGAATATTCTGTGTTTCAAAGGCTTTCCTCCTCCTTCTGCTCCTTCATACGCTCTCACACTTTTTTTACAATTATATTTTTTTCTACCAAAGGGTGAGAGTGACACTTATGCACTTTCCTTTTCACCTGTGCTGCTGGCCATTTGGAAGTGGGAGAAGACAAGCTTGCCCAAGCTCATCCCATTACACATATTGCTAATTACCACTGACGTCCACTGACAGCACACTTCATTAACCACATTGAAAAATTCATTCCCCAGCCTCTCCGCTCCAGGCACTTGTCCCCAGCAGCCCTCCCCACAGACAGCTGCATTTTTATTCTGTGTTAAAAATCCCCTTATTCTTACAATCAATCAGTCAATAAAGAAGAGAACTTTCAGGTCAGCTCAGGGCATGTGACTGGATTCCTGAAGAAAAGTTTGAACATGTGTATGTTGAACACCAATCCATAGCCACAGTTTATTAAAACCATTGATTTCCCCTAATGCTGTCTTGTTTGAAAAAGCAACTCACATATTTCATTCTTTCTATTCTGTAACACCTGAAAATAGCACAAAAACACAAAGTTATGAGTACCTAGGCAAAGTGAATTCTGTCACAATGAGTCCACGGCTAAGGCAGGGGATTAGGGCTCTAATCATTTAGTTTCATCTAATTGGTGAAGTAAATTTTTTCTCAAGTGACAGATTATATTTATAGGGCTTATATTAAATACAAGGGGACCCAGGAAAAGTAGATTGTTGGTGCAACTTGCCCTGATCTGTTTGGTAAAGATTGTTTGATTCAACTTGGCACAATGTCTGGTATGTTAAACAGCACACAATGAACCCCATAATAATTCAGTCTATCTTTCTATCCACACATCTATCCATCCATCATTCTATTCATCCATCCATCAATCCATCCATCAATTATCCATCATCCATCCATTCATTCATCCATTTATTGATTTACACATGTATTTCTTCACGTATAAAACTGGGTAAAACAAAAACTTCAATTCACAGCCTATAAGAAATAGCTAAGTTGTGCCACCATTCAACAAGCATGATTTATTTTTTAAATATCTACTGTTTAGGCAGATGCTAAGCAAGATATTGATTATTAAAAATTTGAGATATTAATGATTAATAACATTACATCCTTGCCTTTGATAAGCTAACAGCCTAGTAGGGAACACAGACAGGGAGACACATATATTGAACACACTTTAGTAATCATAATAAAATAGCATGTCCAAGGTTCAGAGACTGGAATGATGTGGGGAGGAAGCCAGAGAGAGATGTCCCACATGGAAGACAGTCCTACATGTTACCCAGATGGGAGATGCTGAGTCTGCTGCAGATTTTTCCATGCTATTAATCCCTGATTTTGCTGGGTTTCATACATATTTAAAGTGTGTTACTTAAAAAAAGACTAAATTATGCAACTGGTCTTAATGTCATGGTCATTACATGGTCAATCTCTTTTTTATTTTATTGTATTTTATTTTATTTATTTTATTTTATTTTATTTTTGAGATGGAGTCTTGCTCTGTCACCCAGGCTGGAGCGCAGTGGCATGATCTCGGCTCATTGCAACCTCCGCCTCCCAGGTTCAAGCAATTCTTCTGCCTCAGCCTCCCGAGTAGCTGGGACTACAGGCACGTGCCACCACACCTGGCTAATTTTTTGTATTTTTAGTAGAGACGGGGTTTCACCATGTTAGCCAGGATGGACTCGATCTCCTGACCTCGTGATTCACCCACCTAGGCCTCCCAAAGTGCTGGGATTACAGGCGTGAGCCACCACGCCCGCCTAGTCAATCTCTTTTTAAGAGCAAGAGGCACAACTTCAAGAAAGGAATGGATTCTTCTCATGTGACTGGATTCATACTTTATTTTTCTCTTTCTCACTTCACTCTCTCTCTTTTATAAAATAGTTTCTTCTTTAAAAACTATAATCTTTAAACACAGAAGTATTCTTTAACGTTATACAGGATCATTTTTATTCAAGTGCTAAATTTGAAATTGAGTCAAATCTCCGGGACTCAACAAACGATACTTTCTAATGGACCCAGAAATGTATTTATTTTTATACTTGAAGATAAGACAATTGAGCACTAGAAAAAGTAACCCAGCACAGAGAACCAAGGAGAAGGAATCCCCTGAGTCTTCTCAGGGACTCACTGGGCTATATTTTTCATCTTCCAGTGAGAGCTCTAATAGAATGGTAATATTCTATTATGCAAATAAAGATGGTAATATAATTTTAAGACAAGATCCTTAGTCACAGCTTGGGCCTGTCAGGTAATGTTACTTTGCTTTTAGAATTGACATTTACTCTTTCCTACTATTAGATCCTTAGTCACAGCTTGGGCCTGTCAGGTAATGTTACTTTGCTTTTAGAATTGACATTTACTCTTTCCTACTATTAACAGGCTAATAATTATGAAAGAGGAGGGGGAGGAGAGGGAGGAAGCAGAAGAGGAGGAAGAGGAGGCAAGGAGGAGGAGGAGAAGGATAAGAAAAAGGAGAAGACTCAGTAAAAAATATGACCTTACAATTTAGGAAAGGGTTCTTTTCCTTAACAAAGAAAAACTGGAAATGACCACATCAGTTAGGAACTCCATGGCCAAGATCTACCAGTGAAGGAAATTAGCACAAGGTGAGATAAAGCTTCAGCAATTTATTACCTACATACCAAGAACATTACCAGGGATCCTAGAAATAGTGCTAGTTGATATTTTAAAGAATTTTCTTTTCCTTTGTTCTATGAACAAGAACAATAAAAAGAATTAAATTAATGACAGAGCATAAAACCTTCTAACAATTTTCATTAATATAAGCCACTGTCTCTTCTGGTAAGTGTACTGAAAACCTATAGATCTGGTTATATTTCACTAAATAAGTTTGTCATGATCTGGTTATTACATAGAAAGAACTATAACAGGGAAAATCAAATTGGCATTTAGTGTATCATTTTTTATGTTATTTAGAAATAACAGAATTCTCAAGTCAGACCAGAACATAGGATGATGGAAGGGTTTCTTACTCTAACGATGAAAACCAGGGTCTAGAATTTGACTCAAGTATTAGGTTGGTGCAAAAGTAATTGCATTTTGTTTTTTGCGTTTTGTTTTGTTTTGTTTTACCATTGACAGCAATGGCAAAAACTGCAATTACTTTTGCACCAATCTAATATAAAATCTATAGGGATCTTTTCTTTTTCAGTAGAAAACTACCTAGCTTCATGAATATATGAATAGAATTGTAGGTTTCTGCAAGTACCTAGAAGCTATTTTCAATATTAATTACTGGCAAACAGATATCAATACACAAGCTGATAAAACAGAGTTTTTAATCCACTGTAAACCATTTGTGAAACCGCTTATAAAATTATGTTTCTGCTCCAAACATTACTTTCCTGTTAAACCTTGGCCTAATATTTTGAGTCCAGTTGTGAGGCTTTCCCTGATTTAATAAGCCCACATAAGTAAATCTCCCCTGTCTCTTTCATACACATTTTGTGGACTGCATGTATTATTTATTCATTTTTGAATACTTCTTATTAGTGGCTTCCATGTCACTTTAACTAAATTATAAACACCTTGAGCTTCAGGCTATGATTTATACTTGTTATGCAATCTTCTGATTGCATGGGAGAGGTCTGCACCAGATGTGGGAGGTTCAGGACATATCCTAGGCACATTAAATGCTGGGCCAGTTATTCAAGAACTATTTATTGGATTACTCTGTGCCAGGTTCTCTACTATGCTCTAATTATCAGACACATTCCTTGTCTTCATGAAAATCATAATCTATGAGGTGGCATGGTGAAACAAGTAGGCAAATAAACAACTACAACTTATCATAGTTCTCTGAAGAAAACATTTTGCTTTCAAGAATGAAAAAGAGCCACTTAGGCTTGACAGTACGTAATCTCCATCCTTACCTTTATTATTTTCAAACCATTTGGTATGACTCCAGTTCAGAAATTCCCAACCACTTGGGGAAAATAATGTCCTTGTAGATCCTCTATAACGGTGACTAGAAATGTGTTTCTCAAACAATCTTTCTGAGTAAGAATTAGATCAGAAACTGGGGAGAGAGAGTGTATGAGACTCTCAAGGTAGAGAATTGGAAGTTCAGCAGAGAGTGTCACTAGGTTAATAGAGAGTGGGTGGAGGGAGATAGGGGACATAACTATTATTACTGTAAAGTACTCTCTACCCCAGAATATATCACACTTAGTAAATAAGTAGTTGCATATTTCATGGTAATAAGTGGTTGAACTCCCATAAATAAGATTTTATCTTCAGTCCAGTGGCTGAACAATACCCACTTATTATATCACAAATTTACATGTCAGAAGTCTGGGCACAACTTAGGTGGGTTCTCTTCTTAAGGTTTTACAAGACTGAAATTAAAGTGTGGGCTAGAGCTGGGGTCTTATTTGAGGCTTAGGATCTTCCTCAAATGTTACATCATTGTTGGCAGAATCCATTTACTTATAACTGTAGAACTCATGGAAGCTTGCTTCCTCAAGGCCAGCAGGAGAGTGTCTTGCTGTTTTGAATCTCCTTTTCTAGGGAGGGTATGAATGAACCTTTATTTTTTTTTTTTAAGAGCTCACTTGATAGGTTAATCTTACCCAGGATAAATCTCTTTTGAGTAACTCAAAATCAATTGACTAGGGATCATAATTGTACCTGCAAATTCCCTTCGCCTTTGCCTCATAATATAACCTAATCACAAGGGTGAAATCCCATCGCAGCCAAAGTTCTCACCCACATTCAAGGTTATACAGGGCATGGATACCAGGGTGTTGGAATCTTGGGGAGCATTAAAAAAATTCTTATTTTTGTAATTTCTCTTTAATGAGAAAATATATCTCTTATTTTGTTAAACCACTATACATATAATTTCTTATAGACGAAGAATAATCATTAAGTAATAGTCTTTGTGTTAATGTATTTTTCCATCTCAAAAATAAGCATAATTAAGCATACCTATCACAGGAGTTTAAGAAGTGTATACTGTAACCTTTAAAGAATGGTTCTATGGACTAAATTATGTATCCTCTAAAAATTTGTATGTTGAAGCACTAACGGTTAACATAACTGTATTTGGAGACAGGACCTTTAGGAAGGTAAGTAAGGTTAGAAATGAAATCATAGTGTTGGATTCTAATCTGATAGGGCTGGAGTCCTTATCAGAAAAGGAAGACATGGCAGAGAGTTCTCCCCTTCTACATGTGAACAGAGAAGAGGCCACTTGAGGGCACAGTACACAGTGAGAAGCAGGCCATCCACAAGACAGGAAGAGAGGCCTCACCCGAAACCAACCCTGATCGCACCTTAGTCCTAGACTTCTGGTTTCCAGGACTATGAGAAAATACATGTTTGGTTTTTAAGCCAACCAGTCTTGTTGTTATATCATGTTGTTTTGGCAGCCCTAGCATACTAATATATGTATTTTAAGAAGAAAAACAAGGACAACAGAATTAGATTCAGAAAGGAAGTCAAGACAGGCAAATGCATAAAAATGGCAGTGAGAAATCAGATGTAAGGAGAGTAAAACAAAAAGGTAACAGTGAGGATACAATACTGCCTTTACATAATCACATATTAGACTTTACAAGTAGAGCTATTTCAGGCATTTCATCATGTTTCATGACAGGGAGTCATCAAAATATATTGGATTCCTTTCCTGTAGTAGTAGGTGTCTAGTGATACACTGCTGTGGTGATATATGTGTTTTCCACACACATTTTATAGATTTGTTCAGAAAGGTAAAAGGTATCTAGTCGGAGAGAGAGACAATGGACCACATACCAAAAACATCAGTAAATAAGAGTGAAAGATTTCCCATAATGACAAGAAAGCAGTTAGTTTAATGATGTAGTATGGTCTCAAAGGAGTTTGCTTTTTTAATGCAATGACAGGGCAATAATGGCTTCAACAGAAATGTAGAAAACTATAAGCACTCCTGCCTTTCTATACAAGTTTGTGGTGCAGGTATCATGCAAGAATAAAAACTTTGAATATCTGTAGAAGAATAAGTGATAATGTAAGCATGTTCCTACGAGTAAGCAGTGAATAGGCTACAAATACGTGTTGTAGGGTCTCTGATGGGGGCCTCCATTCTAGAAATATACAAAATCCATCCATACTTACTGCATAGCATTGACAATCGTTGTGCTTGCTGCTGAATGTATACTATTCACACGGAGGCAAACTCATCAAGATGTGTTCCAAGTTCATTTATATTTCTAGGCCAGAGATCTTGAAAACATCTGGGACACATTTCAATATAACACTAGAAATGAAGTATGACTGTCTATATTAGCATGCAGTATATGTTTAATGAGACTTAAAAAACTCTCCCCTCATTCTACCCTATTAGATTCCTGCCATGAAGGGAATTATATTAGTATAGGTATATTCAATCTTAAATGACCATAGACCTAGGTTTATGGAGAGAGATTAAAACAAACAAAGGTCTTAGTACAATCCAATGAGAAGAAAAGAATCATTATGAACCTCAGACCAAGATGATGGAGAGACCCTGACACTGAAGTTCCTGCCAAGAAACAAATTATTTCTGCTATCTTAAGTGACGAGGGATGTGGAAAATTCCAGAACATCAACTTTCCAAAAATTCAAGCATGTGGAGAAAAGAGTCAGCTATAAAACTATTCTTCGTCATCTAAGTGTGAATTGATTCTAAAATTAGAATTAAAATTAAAATAAATTTTCCTCTATCAAAACATGTGCATGTGCAAGAGAAAATAAATTATACTGATAACAATGGCAAAGTATAACTTTTAAAACATGATTTAAAACCTTTAAACACTTTTCCAATATTCAAACTTTGCAATGAAATTCAAGAGATAAGATTCACCACTTAGGAAGGAGAGAATTTAGAATGTGAGGTATAGCTGAGTTTAGACATTGATATTAGATAGATTGCTGTTTTATATGGGACACTCAGGGGTAATAAATAAAAGCTGAAACTCAGCAAACACACTACAAATACATATGCCCTTACATATTCTACTTTTGTTTTCATTTGCCTAGTCATTTACCTCCTGAGATATGCCAGAAATCTTCATACTTTTGTCTATTTAATTGTGGGTAATATAAAATCTCTATATATAACATGAATTTTTACTGCAAAATTTAGTATTCTAACATTTTGTCAAAGAGATACACATTTATTTGGAGCTGGTCCTAACAATGGGAGAAGAAATATGGATAGAAATTGATTTACAGAAAGAAAGAGTTTTGTAATCAACATACATACTGGAAGAATGTTTTTCATATAAAGTTACAGGAGCCTATACAAAGGTTCTCCCTACTCTTCCAAAATGGCAAAGAGCATTTCTAGATACATAGAAAGAGGAGACTGAACAGATCTTAGATTGAGGAGAATTACCCTCAAACCTTTCTTGTGGTGTGAAGATTTGCTTAATAGCAACAAGGGGAAAAGAAGGAGGAGAGAATTATAATTTATAATATCTGTGTGGGCAAGGCAAAGGTTTGCATACCTTAAATACTTAACACTGTAGAGATTTCTTCATATAAAATCATTTATTTTGCATCTTAGGAACAAGGGCATAGGAGGGTATGGAGCAAATTGATGTACATATTAGTATTGCAATAGACCATTAGATCATTCCAAAGTGTTTCCCAAGTTTGAAACCCCTTCCCGAACCAGGTTGTGGAAGATTCTATTTGATATAAAATATTAGCTGCTCCTGCATGGAACTGAACTTTCCTGCTGTGTTGATAACAGGTTTGATGATGTAGCTTGTCTCGCCTTTCATAGTGGGACAATTAGGTATCTCCACCTCACTGATGTGAGGAACAGCTATTTGACTCACTTTAGCTAATTAATTTAAGAAGATGTAATGTGAGCCTTTTCTAAGCAGAAGTTCGAGCCTAATTATGGTTCTACCAGTCCTCTTTTCCCTCTGCTCCTGGACAAGTTATTTTCTCAATAAGGACTACTCTGCAGCCTGGATCCTAGAATGAATGAATCCGGAGTAGAGCAGAGCCACAGATCACCCACAGATAACAATAAACAGCAGCGTAAAAAAAAATGTATATATATAGAAGCCATTGAGATTTTGGAATTGTTACTAAAACATGCCTCAGTGGATTCTGACATTACACAGAATAATGTCAGGGGAGGTGGTAGAAATGCATAAAAATTATATTTTATACTAAATATTATATTTTAAATACAATATAATATTTTGAGTATATTACATACTCAATACTCTTGTATTAGAGACTTACCAAATCATTTTGACAAGTTACTGGTAGTTAACTAGAGTTATGCCAGTCAATTATTTGTTACTATCCAATCTTAAGGATTCAGTAACATATTGCAGCTTATTCCCTGATTTATGTATCATCTCAATTAATCCTTTGGATCATAATAAAATTCAGAAATAACTTCTTCACAAACAGATGTTCTTGTGAATTCCTTGTTGGGAGAATCAATCTTAAAAAATTTTTCAGGAGTGAAATATAGTAATATGTATCTAACCTTTACAAATTTCACATGCTGTGAGTTGGCAATTTCTAATTTAGGAAACACTGTGACCAGTAGACATATGCATAAAGCCTCAGGAATACCATTACTCCATTACTTATAATATTGAAAAAATGGTTTAAAAAGTCCTGAATATCCAACGATCTAAGAAGAACTAAATAAATCCTGGTTTATTTTTAAAACAAGCAGCCAGCATATACGATGTCATAGAGGGACATTGAATCCCAGGAGAAATGCTCCAAATATATTAAGAGGAAAAAATCATATTATAACACAATATATATGATGTGATCCAAATGTTATTTTAAACATATAAGTATATAAAGGTCTATAAATGCAAAACAGGTTATTTTTGTTTTATTATTTGTATTTGTCTTTGTTTTCAAAATTATCTGCTATGATTTTGTATTACTATCATAGTAAGATAAAAGATAATGTTCTATAGTAATTACTGAATGAAAAAAGGATATTAGTGGTAATATACTACTTGTATAAAATATACATAGATATACATACGGTAAGAATTTAGAAAAACGTATATAGAACTATTAATAGTGATTAAATTTTAGACTGTTGATGAGAGGCAAATGAGAAGACAATTTTCATTGTTTTTGCCCTGTGTAGGTTAATATCACACACTTTTTACAATGAGCATGTGTTAATTTGTAATTTAAAATACTTCACTAATCATGTTATTTTATTTTTTTATTTTATTTTTATTTTTATTTTATTTTATTTTTTGAGATGGAGTTTCACTCCTGTGGCCCAGGCTGGAGTACAATGGCCGCGATCTTAGCTCACTGCTAACTCTGCCTCCTGGGTTCAAGTGATTCTCCTGCCTCAGCCTCCCGAGTAGCTGGGATTACAGGTGCGTGCCATCATGTCCAGCTAATTTTTGTATTTTTAACAGAGACAGGTTTCACCACGTATGCCAGGCTTGTCTCGAACTCTTGACCTCAGGTGATCCACCTGCCTCGGCCTCCCAACATGCAGGGATTACAGGTGTGAGCCACCTCGCCCGGCCAATGTTATTAAACACAGCAATATATGCATGCTGATACACATATGTGCACACACAAAGAAACACACACACAGACACACATTTTGAGCCTTTTAAATGAAAGACAATTGAACTCAGTGGCTTCATTTTTATATCCTTGATGCACTCACTACATAGAACAGAAAAATGTAGTTACCCAGTCTTATAAACCTTCGAAGTGGTGTGAAAGACTAAAATCCAGGCCAACTTCTATAGACAGTTTAGAGTTATTCTTAGCTCTGGGATCATGCTCAAGTATCTACCCATTTATTTCCCCAAAGAGAATGTACTATTCACACACACATTGCCTAGGCTTTGGTCCAATGTTTAAGCCTCAAAAACAAAAAATCACTTGAGGAAGAAACAAAGAACTCTGAAAAATCCAGGTCACAGAGTGTGAGAGAAAAGGACTTCGCACAGAGTATCAGGTGAGACTTGGGGCTCTCACTTACTTAGTCAGCTGTGATTTTTGGATTGGTCAATTTCGATCCTCAGTTTTGTTCACCTCTGTACAGGATTTGCCTTCCTTCCTCAACCTTAGGAAAGCAGAGACTACTGTGGGTATACATGAGTAATTGAATAATCAAATGATTTGTCCTAAAGAAAGATGTATTTCTATTTTGTCCTTATAGTAGAATATATTTTATTTATGAGAATGTATAATGCACAAGAATTTTAAGAGGTAAGATTTACTCTATCATATTATCCCATTTCTTTAATGTTAAAATGTGCATAAAGTTTCATTTTTCATTTGGTTTTATATTCCAATGGAACTCACTCTTTTCAGAATGCAATACGATCCATGGCTATTTATGGTTTTACAAGTTTCATAATGTATCCCAATAAAACTATTATAGCAGGAAAAGGGAATTAACA
This sequence comes from Homo sapiens, assembly GCF_000001405.40. Classification (NCBI taxonomy): domain Eukaryota; kingdom Metazoa; phylum Chordata; class Mammalia; order Primates; family Hominidae; genus Homo; species Homo sapiens. Next base: position 41,294,788 of record NC_000011.10, read on the forward strand.
AGGATAAGGGTAATTGAGTCATAATGCACACTGTCTATAAAGTTAAAATGTTTTTAATCATAAATGCAGCAATGACTTACAGAATATAATTCTTAGAAGTTCTGAGTAGGCTAAATAAAGCCTAACAATCCCTCTTATAACAATGAGTTTTGCCCATAGTATTGGTGATTATTTTTAAAATGCATTAATAATGTAACACTGAATTGCTGATAGTACACTTACACACGGTTGTTATTGTAAATTAGCATGAGTCATATGTATTCAAATCCATAAAATGCTTACACTATTTCATTCTGTGATCTATCATGAGAAACTAATTCAAAGAGGGAAATAAAGCATTGCAGCCTTATCCTAAAATAGTGGAAAATTGGAACCAAGATACATATCCAAAAAATAAGAGCACTGTTAAAAATATGTTGTAATTATCACACTTTATGGAAAGGCTGTGACAGAAATATAGTTATAAATATTAACAACATTGGAAAAAATAAATGGACCATCCCTATATTTTAGTATCTAATGTAGTTTACCAACTGAGTCAATAGAATATACAATATGCGGTAAAAAAAAGCAGATAGTAAATAAAATGTTTGTGGTGATTTAGCAATATACAACTCCTATTCATGAAGACAACAATGGAAAAGGAAAGAGGCTTAGCTGGGATTACAGTTGTGTTAGTTGTGGGGTTTTAGATGACGTGGTTTCCCCAGTTCAGGAAACTGCTTAGTGTATTATTTTTGTAATTATGAAAAACTAGAGAGAAATAAACATAAATAACTCTTTTTGAGTTTATACGTTCAGGGCAACAAACATTTTTTTTTTTTTTAATTCTTAGAGTTTAGTACATAACCTGACTCCGGGAACTTCATTCTTCATGACTTTCAAGCCTTCACAGATCACAATATCACAGATCATATCATATCATGTCTTATATTATCCTTTCCAAGCTGCCTTTTTATTATTTCCATCTACCTGATGTTTAACCCATTTTCTTGACTAAAGTCAAGTGGTTCTGTGAGGGAAGGGCTTGGGATTGACTGGATTGAATGATTTCATTTAGACATCTATTGGCAAGTTTGAACACTATTTTGCTAAGCCCTGCTCAAGTGGCTTGCCACAGAGGTGACACGATAAGAAATATCTAATCCATGTTTAGCTGTATCTCCCAGAACTTACTCTCATTTTTGTTGGATATTTCCCAAAGCAATATGAGTAAATAAAATCCCATGTTCCTGTAAGATTATGGATCACTCTCTTTCAGAGCTTGGTACAGAAAGTAAGCTAACAGAAAGGGAGAATGAAGTGTGGATCAATATTTCCTACATTATATTTTACTATGAATTGGCAAAGATTTTTTAAAAATTGTGAGGGACAGAATCTCAGTGCTCAGAAACCAATATTGCATTGCAGAACAGTGTACTTCCGATAGGATCTTCCCTGCTTTCACAAGAAATCCTGGCGGTTGTTCTGAGTCCCTGTTTCTTTTATTAATAATATATGTTATTGCTGGTGACAAATTATGCTGTGCTTTTTTTTTTTTCTTTTGAGACCAAGTCTCGCTCTGTTGCCCAGCCTGGAGTGCAGCGGTGTGATCTCGGCTCAGTGCAGCCTCTGCCTCCCAGGTTCAAGTGATCCTCCTGCCTCAGCCTCCTGAGTATCTGGGATTACAGGCACTCACCACCGTACCCAGCTAATTTTTGTATTTTTAGTAGAGACGGGGTTTCACCATGTTGACCGGACCGGTCTTGAATTCCTGACCTCAGGTGATTAGCCCACCTCAGCCTCCCAGTGTGCTGGGATTACAGGCATGAGTGAATTGGGCCTATGCTGTGCTTTTTTGAGGTCCCCAAATAAGAACGAGAGCAAAATCCAAAACAACCTCTTTCACTTTGGGAACCTAGCCAAGAAACTAAAGAAAGTACATTCCTTAGCATTTTTTTTTCTTTCTTATTTCTTAAACTCTCACAACAACACGACTACTGTCTCAATCTTTATGTCCGGAAGAAAAATTACTTAAAACATTGATATAAAAAGGCTATGGTATATCTACTTTTCTTCTTATCATTTCAGTGATATTAGATAATAAAAAGTACTTCTTGAATTTGTCAATATTTTAATAAAATTCCTGAAGCTGCATACAAGCAGTGAGAAAGTCCACACTTTTCTTTTACCGGATCTTAATGGAAAAGTTTCCCATTTTATTCCATTGATTATAATGTTTGCTATGGTTTTCCCATAAATGCCCTTTATTATGTTGAGAAACTTTTCTTCTATATCAAAACGGTTGAGAGATTTTATCAAGAAAGAATCTTGGATTTTGTCAAATGTTTCTTTCTCTGTCAATTGAGATGATCATGTGGTTTTTATTTTTCATTCCATTAATGAAATGTATCACATTGATTAATTTGTGTATTTTTCAAGCAGGCATACACACCAGGAATAAACCCCACTTGGTCACAAAGTATAATCTTTTTGATGCGTTATTGGATTCGGTTTGCTAGTATTTTATTGAGAATTGTTTCCATCAATATTCATCAGAGAAATTGGTCTATGGTTTTGTTCCCTTGTGATTCTTTGTCTGGTTTAGGTATCAAGGTGATACTGGCCTTGTAAAATGTGTTTAGAAGTATTCTCTCCAGCTCTATTTTCTTGGAAGAATTTAAAAAGTATCAGTGTTTGCTAAGAATAAAAGAAATAAAGTTAATGAAGAAGAGGGTGGAACAAGTAGAAGTCACCTTAGTATTGAATAAAAACTTAGATTTTTTGGCAAAAACAAACATTTTTGATAACATATGAAATGATATCCCTGCCCTTGCTGAAGTATTTGTGCAGTATATTAACCACATTTCTACTAACGATAAATGGAAAATACTCTCTGCCTGTTTACTATATATTTCAATACACTAATAGAAGTAAAAAGTTTTACATTTTTGATACCTAAACCATGGCAAAATTTTATAAATGGATCACTTTAAAATATGTTAAGGATCCTTTTCAATATAATGATAAGAATTTAATGTATAGATAGATCAGGAAGCATATTTATCCGCAGAATCTGGTATTCAGAAATAACAGATGATTGACAGGACCCCCAAAGCTTTTATATTTCACTATTACCTTTTAATATTACTTTTAATTTTTAATAATCTAGATCAGTAATAACCCAGAGATAGCCTTGGGAAAGACACACCCTTATATCAATCAGGAGATGTATTCAGCTGCAAATAAGATAAAATCCAACTAATAGGAATACCGACAGGTAAGAAATGTGTGCGTCTTCTGCAGCAATAAATGTGGTACTAGTTATTATTGAGCTGGCACTGTAGCTCAGTAATGTTACCAGAAAGCCATGTACTTCCCATCTTCCTGCTCAGCAGTTTTTAGTTTGCAGTTCTTTATACTTGTCGCTGCCTCAGTTTGTCAACAAAATGATTGCTGGGGCTCCAGATTTCAAGTACAAATTACAGACAGAAGAAAGAGATAAAAGAAGGGAAGAAGGTCTCTCTCCTAGCAAGGCCTTGTCTTTTTTTCCCAGAAGTCATGCTCTCCTGGGACTTCTTTCAAAATCACATTAGACAGAAATGTGTCACATGGCTGTCCCTAGATGTCTGAACCCCGGAAAGTGAACTTTTTTTTTTTTTAAGCTGGATACTCACCACCTGTAAGCTAAACGCAGTCATTATTGAATTGTTAAGAAAGAAACAGAATGGATATGGGCAACAGGCAGTATCCAAGTGACCTGTAGCCATCCAAGTGATTCAGTCTCTAAACGTAGGGCCTATGAGTAATAAGGCCAAAATAAAACAACAAAATAAAACAAACACAAGAATATATATTTTTCTCTTGATTGATCATTATTTTTAACTTGAATAAATTTAAGGGGTGCAAGTGCAGTTTTTTTACATAGATACAATTTGTACTGGTGAACTCTGGGCTTTTTGTATGACTATTACCCAAATAGTGTACATTGTACCCATTAAGTAATTTCTCATCTCCCACCCACCCTTGCCCTTCCACCCTTGTGAGTCTCCAGTGACTATTGTTTTACACTCTATGTTCATTTGTGTACGTTATTCAGCTATCATTTATAAGTGAGAATGTGGTATTTGACATTCTATTTCTGAGTTGCCTCCTTTAAGATAATGGCTCCCAGTACCATCCATGTTGCTGCAAAAGACATGTTTTTATTTTTATGCCTGAATAGTATTCCATTATGTATATATACCACATTTTCTTTAATCATTATTTGATGGACAGGCTGACTCCATATCTTTGCTATCGTGAATAGTGCTGTGATAAACATAGGAATGCCAGTGTCTTTTTCATAAAAAGATTTCTGTTCCCTTGGGTATATACCTAATAGTGGGATTATTGGATCAGATAGTAGTTTTATTTTTATTTACTTGAGAAATCTTCACACTGTTTTCCACTGATTATTTTTATTCTCTCAGAACCACTTAAAAGCAGAGAAATGAGTTATAGCCGCCAACAGATTAGGAGAAAGGTAAAAACAATAATATCAAACTTTCTTATAATTGTAAACAACTTTAGCATTCTTTTTCATTAAGGTTACATTGCATCAAACCTGCGTAAATTTACTCACTTCAACAATCACAGTTGAAGCCCACTTTATTATTTTTAATTTCCTACCTACTTGAATTGCCTTAAAATGTCATAATGTCTTAGAGATTTTCTGGTAGTTTCTATATCCAGTTATCAATCTATATCCTATAGTCAAAAAGTCACCAGTTTGTTTGATCTGTTATAAATACATGAATGGGAAAATAGGATCACTAAGTTTAGGAGAGAGGGTATTTTGTAAAATAAAGTGAATTTATGATCCATCATGAATTTAGAAATATAAAAGCATTCTAAATTATGCAGTCGGGCTGAATAAAAAGTACATCTTTATTTCAAACAATAAACATTGAAATTTTCAAATAATCCAATGCTATTTATAAAGAGAAGAAAATTTTCTAGAAGCAATAAGTTTATTTTTTCTTTCAGAGACAACAAGAATTTGTTTATGAAGACTTGATAACTATTCATATATTTGAGAGGCTATTGTCTAGAAGGGAAATGAACTTATTTTACTGGACCAAAATAAACAAACTGATGGTTGATATATATAGGAAAGCACATTCTGGTTCAATTAGGTATCAGTGTTTTGACTGGATTTATATGAAAATGGAATAAGTTTTCCAAGAACATCATGAGTATACAGTCATTAGAGCAGCTTGTATATAAAGGTAGAATCAAAAATAATTTTGCTGAAATCATGGGACCATAAACAGAATTAGGTAACAGGTCAATGTAGTCACAGTGAGATTGGGATAACATTATCAGTTTGAACTCAGCATTTAGAATTTGAAGTGTCACTGGGGAAATTATTTACTAACACTTAGCAGTTTTAATTGCATGTTAAAATTTGTGAGGTACTTTGCTTTACTGGAGAGCTTCATTTGCAACATTCAGCATGAAACTTTAAGGCTGCAACTTGCCCAAGGCTTACCACACTGGAATCTTCTCCAAAATATTAAGTGACTTCACTTTAGGCTTCTATTAGTTTATTTGACTTCCTTTCCTGGGCCTACTGTGTTTTCTTTTGCTTAGGTCCTTGGAGAACTAAGGGGATTTTTTTCCTATAAATCTCAGGTTCCTCTCAGAAGGAAGAAATCAAAACTTTCTCACAGATTCTACCACAGGTCACTGAACTCTGGAACTAACGTCCTCTCTTCAATGATGTGGGAATGTCGTGTCAATCTTTATGAACAATTCCTGGCTTCTCTCTATTTCTCTTTTCTTCCCTTTCCGAGGCCACAGATCTTCAAGGGTGCAGTGCAGAGGAGAATTCTTCTTTCTTTACAAAAATCCTTTTATGTTCTCCTGACACCTTCCTCTACCTTGACATCCCCAGCTATCCAAAGCTAACCAGAACTTAACTATGTCCATTAGTCCAAAGAGTCAGCAATCATGTATCTAATTAGCAAATTTTGCTTGCACCTCTGCCCTTGAAAGCCCCAGTATATCACTGTTTCTATCCCCCTTTAACATTTCATGTAAAATACTACTTGTTACATCTTTAGCAAAATTTAATTTCCCAATCTATAATTATTTTTATGGTAGAGGCAGAGAGAGGCCTGGGAGGAAGAGGAATTTGAGGTTGTTATGAGTCATCACTGATAACAACTTAAATTTAAACAATTTGAAGTTTTAAAATTTTTGTTTGGATATTAAAACAAAATTAGAATGTAGTAAAAACCCTCTTAAATGCCGTCAAGTTAGTGGAACCACTGAATTAGCTGATTCTCTCGATTCTCTGTAAATGTGCTATGCTTATTCACAGCCCACTGTGTATTTGCTGCTGTGCTTTAGTAAGGATATGCACCTCTGCTCCTGTGAGTTGAAGTGGATGCTTGCCAAGTGCTGATTGTACTGTTTCCCAAACCTATCTACTTCTTATTGGAATTACGTCATTTACTTTAATACTAAATAAACTGATGAAACGTGTGCTGAAAAAGAAAGAATTCCCTTTCTATGAGAACCTAGTTGAATGCTTTGTAAAGTTTTGATGTTAGTGAGTTGCTAAAAGCTTTGTTGTCAAATTGATGGGGGTGGGAAAAACCTAAAAAGCAGAGAGAAAAATTATGAAAACCAAAAGAGTTTTGTATTTAAATTGCCTTGCAAGTTTTTCTTTTTCGTAATGCTATCTCTACTTTAGAGAAACTGAAAAGATAATTAAATATTATAATATAACAATGGTCTATGCAAGCACAGTGACTCAGAACTCCTAAGTGATGTAAAGAAACTCCAAGAAAGGCATGTCTCTGGAACCATAGACTAGTGACTGGATGCTATTTCTGTCAGATATTAAATAATTTTCTTATAATTCCATCTTTTTATGACTTTCATGACTTAGCTAAACAAAAACTCCCCCCAATTTCATCAGAGGAGAGAGTTTTTAATATACATATAAATCATTTAGGATAGGCTAGTTCTCCTCTGTCTTTGGTTATTTTAAGCTTACAGAAAATTTGCAAGATAAGAACGATAAACTGCCCTATATTTTTCACCCAGATTCACCATTGTTGATATCTTGACACTGTTGCTTTCCCAGTTGTTTACTGTATACTATTTACTTCCACTACTTTTACTCTATACCATTATTTTTATTTATTGACATTTGACAGTACATTGCAGATATCATGCCCTTTTACTCCTAATAATTTCAGAAAATTTAACCTTGATCCTGTAATATAATGTAATATACAATTCACCATTGCATTTCAGGAAACACTGTTAAATTCAAACAACATATATTTAAATTGGGTACAGCAGTGAGGATGACTCAAAAATTGGAAATTAGGATACAATGCCTGCCTTCTCAGAGATAAACTTTGAAATAAGCACATAATAGGTTATAACAGAAATTGACTATCACCTCAAATAGATAAATATTTGAGAGGAAATGTGGAATGGACTGTAACCTTATTGAAGTGTTAATATATCCAAGGGATACATGCATTACTCAGAAACAAGGGAGGGGAAGCTACGCAATCACAGAAGAGGCAAAGTTGAGAGAGACAGAACCTTTCAGTAGTTCTGCTTAAGCATTGTCTAATTAGGTAGTGATCTCTCAGTGGTGATACAATTTATCCAGCATTTTCATTACTATTTTTGTAGTAGGACAAATTAAACAAAGTCTGTAAGTACTTGGATCAAATACAAACTTTGTTTTCGAGTTTGATGCACATCAAATGGCACAAATCGGTAACATTTTCCGATAAATTGCCTATTAAAGAAAGAAACAAAAATAACAGAAGAGATTTCTATTCTGTTGTCAGATTAAATTTCATATTGAACTTTAAAAATGTATTCATTATTATTTTCAAAATAATATTACTTTCTCTGCTTAAAAGTCTTCAACAGTTCTTCATTGTTTTAATAATAATGCCAGATTTTGAGCCAGAGATTCTAAGTTGTTCATAATTTAGTCTTACCCTAAATTCGTGATCTAAGTCTTTGACTTGTGACCTAGAATATCACAATTGCCCACTATACTCCCAAAGCATCGTTTCATTTTCTCTTCAGTGCTGTGACCAACTCTCCTAAATCTCTGTTTGCAAAATATTATCTCTTTAAAATTAACTACCAATGACTTTCCAAGTCATAACGGAGCCTGAGGCAAAAGCAAAAATCAGCAATACTGGTCCTGTCTTTATTAAAATGTTAATATTTTGTTCATCATGTTTTTTGGTGTTTATATGGATTTTTAGAAAAATACTGCATTAGTCCCTCTCCCTCTCCCTCTCCCTCTCCCTCTCCCTCTCCCTCACCCCACGGTCTCCCTCTCATGCGGAGCCGAAGCTGGACTGTACTGCTGCCATCTCGGCTCACTGCAACCTCCCTGCCTGATTCTCCTGCCTCAGTCTACCGAATGCCTGCGATTGCAGGCACGCGCCGCCACGCCTGACTGGTTTTGGTGGAGACGGGGTTTCGCTGTGTTGGCCGGGCCGGTCTCCAGCCCCTAACCGCGAGTGATCTGCCAACCTCGGCCTCCCGAGGTGCCGGGATTGCAGACGGAGTCTCGTTCACTCAGTGCTCAATGGTGCCCAGGCTGGAGTGCAGGGGCGTGATCTCGGCTCACTACAACCTACACCTCCCAGCCGCCTGCCTTGGCCTCCCAAAGTGCCGAGATTGCAGCCTCTGCCCGGCCGCCACCCCATCTGGGAAGTGAGGAGTGTCTCTGCCTGGCCGCCCATCGTCTGGGATGTGAGGAGCCCCTCTGCCTGGCTGCCCAGTCTGGAAAGTGAGGAGCGTCTCCGCCCGGCCGCCATCCCATCTAGGAAGTGAGGAGCGCCTCTTCCCAGCCGCCATCACATCTAGGAAGTGAGGAGCGTCTCTGCCCGGCCGCCCATCGTCTGAGATGTGGGGAGCGCCTCTGCCCCGCCGCCCCATCTGGGATGTGAGGAGCGCCTCTGCCCGGCCGAGACCCCGTCTGGGAGGTGAGGAGCGTCTCTGCCCGGCCGCCCTGTCTGAGAAGTGAGGAGACCCTCTGCCTGGCAATCACCCCGTCTGAGAAGTGAGGAGCCCCTCCGCCCAGCAGCTGCCCGGTCTGAGAAGTGAGGAGCCTCTCCGCCCGGCAGCCACCCCATCTGGGAAGTGAGGAGCGTCTCCGCCCGGCAGCCACCCCGTCCGGGAGGGAGGTGGGGGGGGTCAGCCCCCCGCCCGGCCAGCCGCCCCATCCGGGAGGGAGGTGGGGGGTCAGCCCCCCGCCCAGCCAGCCACCCCGTCCGGGAGGTGAGGGGCGCCTCTGCCCGGCCGCCCCTACTGGGAAGTGAGGAGCCCCTCAGCCCGGCCAGCCGCCCCGTCCGGGAGGGAGGTGGGGGGGTCAGCCCCCCGCCTGGCCAGCCGCCCCGTCCGGGAGGGAGGTGGGGGGGTCAGCCCTCCGCCCAGCCAGCTGCCCCGTCTGGGAGGTGAGGGGCGCCTCTGCCCGGCCGCCCCTACTGGGAAGTGAGGAGCCCCTCTGCCCGGCCAGCCGCCCCGTCCGGGAGGGAGGTGGGGGGGTCAGCCCTCCGCCCGGCCAGCCGCCCTGTCCGGGAGGGAGGTGGGGGGGTCAGCCCTCCGCCCGGCCAGCCGCCCCGTCTGGGAGGTGAGGGGCGCCTCTGCCCGGCCGCCCCTACTGGGAAGTGAGGAGCCCCTCTGCCCGGCCAGCCGCCCCGTCCGGGAGGGAGGTGGGGGTATCAGCCCCCCGCCCGGCCAGCCGCCCCGTCTGGGAGGGAGGTGGGGGGGTCAGCCCCCCGCCCGGCCAGCCGCCCCGTCTGGGAGGGAGGTGGGGGGGTCAGCCCTCCGCCCAGCCAGCCGCCCCATCCGGGAGGGAGGTTGGGGGGTCAGCCCCCCGCCCGGCCAGCCACCCCGTCCGGGAGGGAGGTGGGGGTATCAGCCCCCCGCCCGGCCAGCCGCCCCGTCTGGGAGGGAGGTGGGGGGGTCAGCCCCCCGCCCGGCCAGCCGCCCCATCCGGGAGGGAGGTGGGGGGGTCAGCCCCCCGCCCGGCCAGCCGCCCCATCCGGGAGGGAGGTGGGGGTATCAGCCCTCCGCCCGGCCAGCCGCCCCATCCGGGAGGGAGGTGGGGGGGGGTCAGCCCACCTGCTGGGCCAGCCGCCCCGTCCGGGAGGTGAGGGGCGCCTCTGCCCGGCCGCCCCTACTGGGAAGTGAGGAGCCCCTCTGCCCGGCCAGCCGCCCCGTCCGGGAGGGAGGTGGGGGGGGGGTCAGCCCCCCGGCCCGGCCAGCCGCCCCGTCCGGGAGGGAGGTGGGGGGGGTCAGCCCCCCTGCCCGGCCAGCCGCCCCGTCCGGGAGGTGAGGGGCGCCTCTGCCCCGCCGCCCCTACTGGGAAGTGAGGAGCCCCTCTGCCCGGCCAGCCGCCCCGTCCGGGAGGGAGGTGGGGGGGTCAGCCCCCCGCCCGGCCAGCCGCCCTCTCCGGGAGGGAGGTGGGGGAGGGTCAGCCCCCCTGCCCGGCCAGCCGCCCCATCCGGGAGGTGAGGGGCGCCTCTGCCCGGCCGTCCCTACTGGGAAGTGAGTAGCCCCTCTGCCCGGCCACCACCCCGTCTGGGAGGTGTGCCCAACAGCTCATTGAGAACGGGCCAGGATGACAATGGCGGCTTTGTGGAATAGAAAGGCGGGAAAGGTGGGGAAAAGATTGAGAAATCGGATGGTTGCCGTGTCTGTGTAGAAAGAAGTAGACATGGGAGACTTTTCATTTTGTTCTGCACTAAGAAAAATTCCTCTGCCTTGGGATCCTGTTGATCTGTGACCTTACCCTCAACCCTGTGCTCTCTGAAACATGTGCTGTGTCCACTCAGGGTTAAATGGATTAAGGGCGGTGCAAGATGGGCTTTGTTAAACAGATGCTTGAAGGCAGCATGCTCGTTAAGAGTCATCACCAATCCCTAATCTCAAGTAACCAGGGACACAAACACTGCGGAAGGCCGCAGGGTCCTCTGCCTAGGAAAACCAGAGACCTTTGTTCACTTGTTTATCTGCTGACCTTCCCTCCACTATTGTCCCATGACCCTGCCAAATCCCCCTCTGTGAGAAACACCCAAGAATTATCAATAAAAAAATAAATTAAAAAAAAATAATAAAATAAAATAAATAAATACTAAGGGAACTCAGAGGCTGGCGGGATCCTCCGTATGCTGAACGCTGGCCCCCTGGGCCCCCTTATTTCTTTCTCTAAAAAAAAAAAAAAAAAAAGAAAGAAAAATACTGCATTAAATTACTGTTTGTTTTGATTACTGAGTTTTTTGATGCCTCATTAAATTTTTCACCTCAGTCTAGAGGCTCACTTACTTCACCCTCAAAGCTCTTTCATGAAGACATCCTGATCCTTCAAGTAAAATTTGTCTTGTCTGGATTTCCAGAGCACTTTGTTTCTCTCTCTTTTATAACATACAACGATTCTACCTTTACTATTACCACTACTAGTTCTTAAGCTCACAGAAAGCTAGTAGTATCTTTGTCTCACCTTCAGTACTTTGCACTCTAATACAGTTAATGCTGTAATACAAAGGGAAGAAGCAATGCATTTTAATGGTAAAATTGAGACTTCACTTTGTTTTCTCCCATTTAGTATCTACTCCTCTTCGAAATATTTTTGTTAAAAGGCTCTTTGGAAATGTAAAGAGTGGCAGTCTGTGAATTAGTCATTCTTTCCCTCAAGAAATACACACTGCGCATATACTACACACCATGTGCTATTCTAAGTGGAGAGTATCCTGCAGTGAATGTGTCAGACACAGTCCCTGAACTCATGGAGAATGCATGCTAAAGGGGGAAGTTCAAGAATTAAAATATGTCACTGATGGTGATGAGTAATATGAAAGAAGAAGCACAGGGTATAAGGAAGTCTATGGGGGAATTCCTTTAACCTTGGGTGGGCGGATTTGAACAAAGTTACTTAAGAAAGATAATGCTTGGAACTAGGCTCAGAAACACTCCTGTTTTGCTCCACTGTAACTTTGCATATCATGCACTTATTAAGGAAAGTTTAAGTAGTTGCTTATCTAGTACCCAATGGCTTTCTTCGAAAAATTAAGAAGACACACACAAAGAGATCAAAGAGAGAATCAAATACACAGAGATATTTTTCCATGTTTCATGTACCTTAAGTAACTAAATGGCATCCCAGACCATCAAATCTAGATAGTTGTAGTTTGAACTTTGGCTTTGTTACCAACAGTAACTACAAATGTAATTCTCTCACAATATGATATTTAAGCAGCTCAAGAGAAAAGGAATCATGCAACTTCCTAATCCTTGGAGGCTAGGGTGAGGGGATACGGCTTGGGGGAGAGACTCCTTCTGCTGAAGGGGAAAAAGTCAAAATGAAAACTTAAATAACAACTCAATTTTTTTTCTTTCAAAATGCAAGCACCAGTGATAGTTGGAGATTACATATTTTATGAGCTTAATTAAGTTTCTATTTCAAAAAAAAAAGAAGACGATTCCTCCTTCAATCTTTCACCATAACCTGTCGTTTAATAACCATGGCACGTCAGGAGCCCTATAAAAAATGCTTTCTTGTCTTCCATAGTGGAAGAAGTCAAGCCCCAGGGACCCTCCCCCTGCCATCCCTGGTGAATGAAGCAAGTCATTAAAGAGGAATTTGAATTGAGAAGCTTTTCATGAGATTTTCTGTCAAGACTTCTAAGTAGTCAGCCAATGAATGGGCCCTTACTTACAAACACAGCCTTGTTGCATGTGGGCTGAGCAAACAGACACCATTGTGGGGACAGGTGGAAAAGAAATATGAATGGACAGTGCAGTTTGCTCTGTGAAGAATCTCATTACCAAGTGACTTTGTGCATGGCCTCTGTGTCTGGGAGGGGAGCCACCCTTCCAAAAAGCCTGGGCTTTTCCCACGTGCATCTTAAAGATCAGCCACAATAGGAGACACAATTTGAGATTCTTCAGAATGGAAATGTCTTCCCCGCCTCCCTTCTTCCCTTTATTTAAAACACAATTTCATTTTAGGAGTTTAGTCATTATACCATTTTCATGGGGATTAAAAAGGTGAAGTGAAACTATGAAGATTTCCTTTTGGGGAGACTAATTTGGGGAATGGTAATGAGCAGACCTAAGAGAGACAGAGAGCTTTGTGTCTCCATCGCCCACATTCAGACTCATGTCCTTTTATAAGGATTGCATGACCCTTAGGACCTGTAGGTGACCAGCATGAGGGTATAGCCATCACTTTCAGCAGATCAGCAAATAGGCAGGAAGGAACTTTCCACAACATAGAACCTTGAATAAATAGTATTGATATAGACTAGGCTTGGGAGAAATCAGTAAAGTTGCCATCTTGTCCCTCTTTCACCAAAGGTAGCTTGCGGACTTCACACAAGTAACCTTCCAATGACAGATGTTACTTCCAAAGGTTAAAACTCTGAGGGATTGCTTTTTTTCACTCTGGAGAAAAACGCATACATTCTGGGGGCTTATGAATACCTGGTGAAAGATTTTTTTTTGCAACAGCGTGAGCACTAACAGAACAACACAGGGCTGACTATTCATTTTTTGGATACCTTTTCCTAAGCAGCTCAAAACCGGCAGTAGAACGTGACATTACCATGTAACAGGAGGCTGGCCTGATCCTGTGCTGTGTCCACCGCCAAGGTGTTTTTGTCATATCTGTCCCCTGCTGGGTGGGGACAGGGGCATCAAAAGCCTATCTACAGTCAACAAAACAAAGCACATTCTAAAGAAAGCCAAATCAGGCACAAAAAGCTTGGGCCAATATTAAAACCACAGGTATTCAAAGCGAAGAGATATTCTGATTTTTAAGATGATTACTTGGTTTTCTCTCCCAGCCCAGCTCCCCTATGCATGCTTGGGTTTTCTGAAGAGCAAAGGGCTATTAAAACAAGAAAACAAAACCTGAAAAAAAAAGTTGTTTCACAGAAGACATTGGGCCAAACGCAAACAGTGCAGGAAACCCCTGCAGATACAACGTCTCTTTTTTTCTTTTTTTTTTTTTAGACAGAGTTTTGCTCTTGTCACCCAGGCTGGAGTGCAGTGGCGCAATCTTAGCTCACTGCAACCCCCACCTCCCGGTATCAAGTGATTCTCCCGCCTCAGCCTCCCGAGTAGCTGGCGTTACAGGCATGCGTCAACACGCCCGGCTAATTTTGTATTTGTAGTAGAGATGGGGTTTCTTCATGTTGGTCAGGCTGGTCTCGAACTGCCAACCTCAGGTGATCTGCCTGCCTCAGCCTCCCAAAGTGCTGGGATTACACATCACACACCGGGGCTCCAGAGACTTGGCTGCTGCAGAACTCAGCTGGGCTGATGGTAACAGCATTTTCTGGTAGACAAGGTAGCCCCCTGTTGCTGAGTAGCAGTGGAAGATAAACGCAGCCCGCAGTGACAATGATAGTGGGGGGTGGGAGTGCTCTCTGAAGCCACATGGGTTGTGCAGTCTGGTGAACTTGAATGGGGATTGGTGTCCACTGAGGCACAGGGCTCATTCACCACAGAAAGCAGCAATTACCATCCACTAAGAAGGCTGAGGATGGTGAAGAAGATAGCAGATGTTCTGCGGTCTCTGATTTCTTTTTTTGAGCACACAGAAGACACTTCCTGAGTACTTTCGGAATTACATAGCTGCTTCTTTTGAGGTTGAGAATAGAGAAACAGGGGTTATACCCAGAATATTTCCATTTTACATCTATCAGCCATGAGATTAATTAAAACTCATGTACACAGTTCACCCTCTCTCCCACACTCCTACTGTCAAATCTGAATTGAGGTGCAGTACAAGATGACAGGGTTTCTGTGGCAACTTCATTGAAATATATAGAAATTATAAATAAAGACCAATATGTTAACTCCCCATTATAATCTTCCACAGCAGTTGTTAAAAATAAAATCCCTGCACACTTCAAAGCCTCAATTCCACGCTGAGCTCTTTCACTTTTAGCAGATGAATGCACCTAGGAAAATACAGGCCTAGCAAGCTCAGCTATTCTGCCTTTTACCATCACCCTTACAGCCTTATCTTACATGCTCTACATTTGGTAATACAATTGAACATAATTTAGTAAACGATGAAATAATTGACTAGTAGTGTAACCTTTGTGCTATCTCACTAGCGCCTCCTATCTTCAACTGCGCTTTGATGTGTTGATTTCCTATCTGCCCTTAAACCTTCCTGGCTTCTTTGTCTATACAGCACCTGTCATCCCTTTCTCTGTCTCAATGAGTTTTATTTCTCATTTCCTCCCAAGGAAAAGACTAGGGTTTCAATGACCATGATTTTAATTTGATACACTAGTATAAGCAGAAAATCCAAAGCAAGTTTGAGCTGCATTAATAAAGGCATGTTGTCTAGACTAAAAGAGGTTTTTTGTTTCTATTTTGTATCAGCCAAAATACACATCTCATCTTAAATATTCTTTTCAAATCACATCACATATTAAAGAGATCAGAATCAAAGAGGAAATGTTTTAAGGAGAAGAATTAGGACTCTGATGTTGCTGTGTGCCTCATAAGGCTTAACAAATGTCTCCGACTCAATGTTTCTCTTTCTGGAGAGAAATTATGTAAAGTTAGAGACTGGATTTAGAGAATCAGACTGCCTGGGTTCCAAACCCACCTCCACCATTTATTTTTTATAAGATCTGGATCAACTTTTCTAATTTCTGAACAAGTTCTTTGTGTTAGTTTCCTCAACCACCAAACAAGCAAATTACAGTACATTCCTTTCAGGGTTAATGTGAAGATTAAATAAATTACTCCATTCAACTGCTTAGGAGAACACTTGGCTCTTAACAAGTAATCAAGTGTTAGATATTATTATTAAAGAATATTTGTCTAGCCTTAGTTTAAAAATTAGAGCTTCTTACAACAGCATTCATAGCAACCAGTCTAAAAAACCAGAATAAAAAGTGGAAGAAAGCCACAATAAAAAAAACCAACATTGTGTTTATGCCTTTTTGTATTTACATGGACCTGTAATATTTTCCATTTTAAGATAAAAATAAAATTTAAAATATAACTTCGTATACTATCTAAGCAATTTTACACCTGCCTTATAAAACCTTTAGTACACTGGTTCTAATATATTTTTGCCTTTATAGGTAGGCTGTAGATAAATTTAAAAGACAATATAGCAATTTAACAAAGCACAACCTTCACACACACAAGTATTAATATTATTTCCAACCTTCGCTTAGTGCCTAGGCATTTGATTCGCATCTATTCTTAGTAAACAAGCAAAGGAGTTCAGTTCTAGAGATTCTTTGAGAAACTAACACTCAACTCACAAACTAGCAGCTTTCTCCAGTTCAGCTTGTGGAGCTGCTGATGACAACAGGCAGTGAAGCTATGCCGTGCATTAGAACCACATTTTTTTTTATATATTCATTTTGGACAGTAGTTCTGGAAGCACAAGGAAGCATGGTAAATTAAGAAATTGGTTCTCAGTTCTCAGTGCTGATGAGTCTTGCTCATTTTGAGTTTTAGATTTATTTTCTATATGTCACACTCGTAGCAGAAACCAAAACAAAAAACACCATTTAAGCTTCTTCATTATTTTATTGAAAAAAATAAGAGCAGATTAAAGAGTTGGGGAAAAAATGAACACAGTTTTATGATATTTTGATAGTTAATGTGTTTAGTTACATCACATAAACTACTTATAAAGATAAATCTAACTTCCTCTACTGTATTTTTCAATTGGGATATAAAATATATGTTCCATGTACTTTTTAAGTATTATGAATAACTCATGCATAAAGTCAGCCATTTTGTAATGACTTAACCAGGAAATATATTTTGGCATTTAAGAGTTAAATCACCTGCCTAAACTCACAGAAATTCCTTGTAGAGGCAGTGATCTAATATTGTATCATTATTTTACCAGCTAGAATAAGTCATTTACTAAATGACATTAAATTGTATTAGCAAATGTAAAGCATGTAAGATAAAGCTATAAGATTTATCTCAATCACAAATTTTGGCTTTCTATTTTTTCTGTCGTGTGTCATAGATCTCACATATAAGCCACCCCTCCATTTCCCTGTATTGTGACAATCAGTGGAAGTAGGGGTTTCTCTGTCTTATTTACAGCATAAATCCATGGATATTATCCCACATCATCATTATTGTCTCAAGAGAATATTTGAATTAGAAGGCAGGCATCCATTGAGATAGCAAGAGCTCAAAGACCGACACGTTTTATCAATTAACAGAAGCTTTAACACTAGTTGACAGATGAATCCCTATGCCCCTCTATTGATATATGGAATCTGTTTTTCCTCTTTTTTGACAAAGTGGATGACCAAAAAGGAGAAAGAAACCAGGAATTAGCCAGTTTGATTATGTTTCCTTCTGGGGTTTTCTGTCTTTCCCATACCCTCTGCCTACCTAAGTTTCTATATTCTACATTCTCTTAAATGACCCAGTCTATTTCTAAACCCTTCAAAATGCTGCCATTTACTCTGCTTTGGAACTTACTCTCACTGCTCCTGAGACTTTCAAAAATATATTCTCATGAACCATTTTAAGAATCAAAGGAGTTAAACCAGTTTTATGAATTCTATACCAGTACAGAGTAATGTTTAGGAATTCAGATTATTGAACAACTTGCCTTCAACTCTCAGATGTGTTACTAGTTCACTGTGTGATCTTAAGAAATTTGCTGAACACTTCTGCATTTCTGTGTCTCTCTGTGAGAATTTCTGTATTAATTTCATATGAATTGATGAGATTAGTGCACAGCATATAGTGACCTTAGCTCAATAAATGTCAGCTATGATTATTATAACCAGATGGGTTTTCTGTGTTGTACTACAGTTCAGGTTTCCCTGGATCATAAGGAAACAGTAGAAGCACACACTAATTAAAACATAAAATAGAATGGTAAAGTTTTTCATGACCTCATTGGTCACCATGGGCCTCAGCTCTCCCAAAGTTGGGATGGGCAGCAGAGTCTCAAGTAACAAAGAAGGGAAAACGCCTGGTTTCCTTAGGGTTAGCAATTTAGGTCTGACATGTATATTTCTCAAGGAAAAGGTTTGAGTTTTGGTTTTGTTGGCAGTATACATAAAACGCTTCCATCAATGAGTGTCCACATGAAACATCACAAGTAGTGGCCTATGTTATGTCAAGACTGGGGCCATTTTGCAGTGGTCCTGGACTAATACATGGTAATAAAGGCAGTAATTAACTTTACCTCTCTTTCTGATCTCATAGAATTTCAGCAGCAAAGTAAGAGAAGGCCTTTGGGGCTCTGGATAAGTATGTTGAGGGTATGTTTGATACATACGCCTCTTATCCTCCAGTTCTTCAAATTGGCAGTAGGCCAGTTCCAGGGTTGGTTAAATTAAGAAGTTCTGTCTTGTATTCAAAGAAATGGGAGTTTTCCATCTCTCCACTTCTCCTTCCTCAACATGTCAAGGCTGTTTCTTCTCATGGCTGTATTGAACCAACAATGTCTAGCAAACAATAGTGTTTTCAATGTGTTAATTTTAATTAATGAAGAAAATCATTAGCAAAAGCTTCTGTCTGGCCAGATGTCATCTAGTGTCACTTTGTCTAGAATTGGATTATAACACTGGCAACAGAATTGAACCACCATATTTCGTTTACCCTTATTACTGGGAATAGTCACCATTCCAAGTACACTGGAGGATGAACACCTTAACCAAATCAGGACTCTGCCAGAAAGAAAAACAAATGCATATTGAGGGTTGGTAGGTATGTTTTGTCTGCCACTCTTGAGACAGTGCTCATTTACATAGTAATTCAGGGATAGAGATAGTGCTTAGAATACAAATGATTGTTAAAGGGTCTATACTCGGACCTATTAATATTACCATTAATTTTATTACTATTATTAACAGACAGGCTTTAAGACTACAATAGAATTAAAGTATACAAAACAAACAATTTAGAAAGTGGTATATTTGTGATTTATTCTGTGATCCAACCAGCCATTATCATAAGCCTAAAAATTTGATAAATTTTTCAGTGGCCTGCATATAAAAGGAAGGTTCTCGAGGTTCTTAATAGTGCTACTCTGACATTTTTTTTTGCAATCCCATTATTAGCCAAAAATTGTCACAGTATCCATTCATCTATTCAAATAAAAATGTTGTTTTCCTTGTTTATCTTGTAAATATATGAATAATTTTGGGTATACTGGCCTTAAGAAACACTAATGCCTTCATAGGCAGTTTCCTTCTTTGAAGTCCAAGGGACTTGGGAATAGATTGAGGTAAGGGGCTGGGGGTAGATTGGGAAAGGGTGGAGAATGAAGAAATACACACTTAAAACACACAATAGGAGAGGGTGGAGAATGAAGGAATAAATACTTAAAATACACAATCAGGAGAACAAATGATGTGGGAGTATTGCTGAATTCCTCTTACCAACTCTAAATCCAGATTTTTAAAGCTGCCCTTGAATGCCTAAAGTTAAGTTTCATTGTATATAGGTATCAGTTAAGTTTAGCCTATGAAGGAATAGTGAAATAACTGTTATAATAATGTTAATAAATGCTTATTGATCACTTAATATGTTCTAGGCACCATTAGTTGATATTCACTGAAGTTGATAAGCACAATTCAAGATTGATATGATAATTGTCAGTTTTATAGAAAGAGAATTTAAGTGTATAATAATAATGCTTTTTGGTACTGTTATAAAAAGACTCAAGACTGTAATTAAGCTTGAGAGACCCTCTTGAGCTATCTGTATAAAAACTATAATTTCACACCACGTGTCCTCACTCATAGGTGGGAATTGAACAATGAGATCACTTGGACACAGGGCAGGGAACATCACACACCAGGGCCTGTCAGGGGTGCGGGGCCGTGGGAGGGGTAGCATTAGGAGAAACACCTAATGTAAATGATGAGTTGATGGGTGCAGCAAACGAACAGGGCACATGTATACCTATGTATCAAAGCTACATATTGTGCACATGTACCCTAGAACTTAAAGTATAATAATAAAAAAAAAACTATAAGTAAAGAGACGACCCCAGCTACAGTATAAACCTAGCTGACTCACAAGGAATTTTCATTCTCCTGGAAAACTTCATTTTCAAAGGCATGTTTAAACTATCTAGTGCATATGTCCTGATTGTCACCATATCAACAATTTGCCATAACTGGACTGATCTTGAGCAAACCATTTAACCAACTGAATTCTCAATGTCATAACCTACGAAATAAGACCAACTTAGTTGCTCCATATATTCTACAAGTTATGAGGAAGGTTAAATAAAAATTTCTAATAGGAAAAGAATAATCTTTGGAGCCAAATTGTCCTGGATTTACTAGTTCAGTCATGAAAAAAAATGTGCACTGAAGATTGTCTGTGATCATGAGCAACTTGAGTTTTGTTGTCATCTGTGTTACAGGCATATCAATGCCTACATTTGGTTGCCAGTTTCCAAGATGGTCCCCAATGATCGTCATCTTCTGGTATTCATGCCATTGTGTAGACCCTGCCCATATTATGTAGGGATGACAATTGTAACCAATAGGATATTGCAAAAGTGACTATGGGGGATTTTTAGGAGTTAGTTCATAAAAGACATTGCAACTTTTATTTTGCTTGCTTGAGTTGTTTGTTTTGAGGGAAAACAGGTGTCGTGTCATGAGAACATTTAAATAGCTCTATCAAGAGACTCTCATGGAGAACTGAAGTATCTTGCCAACCATCAACACCAACTTGCCAGCCATGTGGGTAAGTCGCCTTAGAAGTGAGTTCTCCAACCCCAGTCAAATGATCAGGTGAATACAGTCCTAGCCAACTTCTTAATTTCAACTTCATGAGAAATTCCAAGTCAGAACTACTCCTTAAGCTGCCCTTGCATTCTAACTCATAGAAACTATAAGGGAATGAATGTTTATGATTGTAGTTTTAAATCACTAAGTTCTGAATAAGTTTGTTAATCAGAAAGAGATAGCTGACATGAGAAAACAAACCTATATAGATAGTCATTGTGAGATTTAGAGATAATATCTGTATACATAGCTATGAACCATGTCTCCACACAGTGAGAGCTCAATAAATAGATGTACAAAGGAGCTGGATCTTCACTATAAATGTTATCACTAAGATGCAACATTAATTTAAATATGTTTAATACAAACGTTAATTTGCTGAATGCCTAACTCAAAAGCCATTTATTTCTTTTCCCCTAAATAATGGACTAGAATTTTGTTATGGGACCTGTGTATATATACTTCAGAGCCTAGGATCTTCAGGGCCAGTGAACCTCATGTCCAGCTCCAACGGAATATCCCTGGAAACAGTAATTAGCTCAGGAGTATACATGATACCAAAGACAGTATAGTCTTTTTTACAATGAGAATGATGTGCTCTTTCTCTATAACTGGGGGTGACTATGGGTAACAGAGTTTTTTCAGCCAATAAATGAAACCAGTAAAAATCTCTGGATGGCAAAAAAAAAAAAAAAAACAAAAAAAAACAAACATGAGCAGAAATAAATTCTTGGTGATTATTGATTAAATCTAAATCTATTACACATGAAGCCTACCCTATCTTTGGACTTCACAATTATGAGAGCAAGGGCATTCACATTTTTTCCACTACAATCCTCATTGACTAAAGCATTACATTAAAAATAAGTACATCTAAATAATTTCTGTGATTTCTATATTTCTATTGCATCTGTTTTTATATATCACCTACAGGAATCAAAAAGTTTATTTTAAGCATGGCAAGTCTCCTCTCTAGGAACTTCAACTCTATTCGTCTGAATTAAGGATCTACGTTCTGATTCATTTTGTAGGACTTCTTATATGTAGAGCTATTGTTTCTTATCCCCTTGCTTTCTTATCATAACTATACTTTGCTAAATCTCCATCACTGTATCTCTGACATGCATTGTAATAAAGAAAAGCTATTGCTAATTCAGAGAAGAAAGCAGTTACTTTAATACTTGACAGGTAGCAACCACTCTGTATCAGAATTCACCACCACTCTCTTTTTCCCCGCATTCATTCACTTGAAATAAATTTCTGGAATTTGGCCTTGTCAGTAAGAAATGAAACCACAAGGCTGGTTCCAAGAGAACTGGCAAGAAACTGTGCTGGATATGCAGAGTCAGAAATCACTGACTCCTGTTGTGTGACCTTGTGGGAAGTCAGTTCTCCCAGACACTCGAACTCATTAACTTCAAAACTGGGATCCTGCAAAGGAGCCAACAGTCCCCTTTTCTCTACACAGTCATCTTGATCTCAGAAGTCAGCTCACTGCCCTCCTAATAGACAGCTCAGCACAGAGGAAAGAACACTGGTTTCTGTATTAAATTCCCAGCTTCACTCCAAATTAGTCTAGATCAGGTCAACCTGGGTTCAGTTCTAGTTTCCTTGCAGTATGGCTATTTGGCTTAGGACAAGTCATTTAACCTTGATAAGCCACTGATTTTTTTTTTTTTAACCTTAAAATGAGAAAGAATAATATCGATTTCAAATGATAAGTGGAAATTAAAATGAGATTATGCATTTTAACTTTTACGGCCAAGTTTTATGTGTAATACATGAGAGTTTCTTTCCCTTCTTTTCTATTCCCATAATATTTCCCTAAGGATAACTTTTAAAAATGAACTTATTGAAAAACTACAAGGAGTATAGAAATGTTTTAAGAAGAAATATTAAATATCACCCTACTTCCATTCCCTCTCATTCCTCTCTTTACATCCACGTTCCATACCCAACATAACCTTCATTAGAACTTCTGTGCACTTCTGTAGAGACTATTTTCCTATAGTTAAACTAGTCCATTTATTTTTATTTGTATTATTATTATTATTGTCATCATTCAGTAATACTAAGGACCCGTCATTTGGAGGAACAAGGGGCTGCTGGAAGGAAGGACAAGACTAAGTAACATAATAGACAATGGTTTGAGGGATTTTTCCTCTAATTTTTAAGTGTCCAAGACTCATAAATAGTAAACATATACAATTTTGCTGGAAGACAATGTATGGTCATCTATTGAAAGCTTTAACAATATATTAGCATTTTGAAATGGTAAGTCAATTTCCAGGAATTCATCCCAAACAAATAATTAAATATGTAAGCAAAGATTCAGCTATGAGGATATATGGCATAAAATTGCCCATAGAATTAAAAAAAGGAAAAAAGGTATATGCCTAATAATAAGGAAGCAGTTCAGTGAAAAGTAGAACATGCATTCAACAGAATACAATAGAAATATGGAAGTCATGCTGCAAAAATAATATTGAACAACATAAAGAGAGGCCCACTTTATATTATTGGAAAAATCAAGTTATGAAACAATATATACAGCATAATCCCATTTTGAATATTTCCCAAAGAAGAATGATCAATGAGAACAGGTATTTGCTAAAAAGATTATACATTAATATGTTTACAGTAGATATTTTTAGGTGTAGATTTGATGTAACTATTTTCTTCTCTTGGCTAATTTCTGGTTTCTGGTTTTGGATTTTATTTTTATCTACAATGTAAAAGTTATCATTTTTATGTCATACTACCTATCTCTTTAACCTTACCTGGTAGTGCAAGGGATACATACTGACAGAAATACAACAAATTCTACTGTATTGGACTTAATTAGCAGAGATTCCAGTATTCTCTCCAGATTTCGTCCTCAATTTTTCCCTCTTCTCATAAGAGATTGAAGGTGGGGATTTTCAAATATGATCAGAACTTCTATTTGTGGCACTGTCTCTCCCTCTGCTCCACTATCTACTTTTCTCACCATCCCTCAACTCTTTGCCCACTTTTGCTCTGAGGTGCATATGTTGCTACTCCAGTCACTGGTGACCTTCCCTTGAACACTAATCATTTGACAACTTTCTCCCTTTGGCTTTTTGTAATAAGCTCTTTCCTAGATATTTCCCACTATGTGTGTTTGTGGTTATATATTTGTGTGTCTGTGTTTGTGTGTTTATTTCACTAACCTCTCCTTTTCATAGAATAGAAATTCCAGAAAAAAAAAACCTGGTGAGATTGCAGTTAGTTTGTGTTTCACACACAACTTCACATTGTAGCTCATGGATATTGAACACTCAGAATCTGCCACTAATTTTTTCACACTACCTTAATTCGCTTACAATTTTCTTCAGGGGACCAAATTTTAACAATCCCTTTGGTGCCTGAACATAACGGAACCTCAATTTGAGAACAAGTTATCATACTTTCCCACAGATTTTTAGAGCCACAGAAAGAATATGTGGTTGGGCACCAGTTTTGGATTTCACATGTTCTCTGGCAGTCTTGAGGCCGCTTGTCTGACAGCATGCAAATGACTTCCATGAGAACCTAAAGCCACATGATGCCACATGGATTTTATCTATGAACCAGGAAAGTTATGTTACTGAATGAGAAGGAAAAAAACTAACTAAGTAGTATCAGCAGAACATTTCTGTCGAGAAAACATAAAATGCTGTAATAGAAACCATACTTAATTAAAAGAAATTAAAAATCTATATTTAAATCTGCAAGGGGTGACCACTGGAAAATCAATTCATACTTATGATTATTAATATCCACATCTGTTACATGGAGCATTCCTGTGGTCAGACTTTAAAGGCTCTTCTAGGTTGGAAGAAAATGGTCTTTCCAGAATGAGACAACAAGTTGCCACAGTCTATATTTTTCAAGAAGCCAAATTAATTAAATGCATTCTACATATCATAATTGCCAACTAAGGTTTTGTTTGTTTGTCTGTCTTTTTATTTGTTTGTTGAGACAAGATCTCACTCTGTCACCCAGGCTGGAGTGTCATGGCACAATCACAGCCAACTGCAGCATCGATCTGCCAGGCTCAAGCAATCCTCCCACCTCCCAGGGTGGCTAGTCTGAGAAACTAGAACTACAGGTGCACACCATCACGCCCAGCTAATTTTTGTATTTTTTGTAAAGATGGGGTCTTCCTATGTTGCCAAGGCTGGTCTGGAACTCCTGGGCTCAAGGGATCTGCCTGCCTCAGCCTCCCAAAGTGCTGGGATTACAGACATGAGACACCATACCCAACTGTTGCCAACTAAGTTTTGATTTGGGACTTTCATTTTTAAAGATATATGTTTAAATGCATGGAATTATTTTAATGTGTTTTAATATAGAAACTAAAATAAAAGTAATGGAGTATATACATTTCAAATGTCAAGAGTAAAATCATTTAAAAAAAAGAATCAATACAAATAGAGGGGGGCACAATGAGACAGATATAAAAAAGTATAGAATTTTGACTATGGTAACCAATCTGTCTTTTTATTTATCATATGTACTCCAAGTATCAATTGAGAATATAAATAGAATCCAATTTATATAGTTATTCTTGGCTAATACTCTAAATAAAATAAAAATCTGTGCAACTCTGCAACTTTAAATAGTGGTTTTGTTTTAAATAAGAGGTGTTTCATATGAAAGCTTCTTCAAATGTTAGATTCATAACTGACCATAACCATGATTTAGCCGATGGTAATCCACATTTGAAAGACATAGAAGAAAGAAAAGCTTCAATAAGGCATCAAATCTTGTGAGAAATAGTTTAGCATCTCACAGTCAAAAGGTCAAGTTTTTTTCAGATGGTGACTCACTCCTGATTCTGTGAAAAATGCTTTCAATAGAATAGTGATTTCCATTTCTGTCTAAATAGATGTCTATGGTGCATTACACTGGTCCTTTTCATCAGCTCCACGTAACACACACATACATTTGCCAAAGTAAGTGGTCTAGCTAATTTTAGTGTTATGAAAAATGACTCTTTTCCCAAATCAGTTCGACCTCCATATTTTTTAGTGACTGCACTAGTTTTCTATTGCTGCATAACTAAGACAAGCTTAGTGACTTTAAAAAAGGAAAACACACTCATTTATTACCCCTTGCTCTTTTTTTCCATGGACCTGTGGCTATTTATTTGCATGTATCAAAGACCAGCATCGTTAAACTTGGTCCTCTGCTCAGGAGCTCACACTCATAGTGTGAGATGTCTGTCTTTACATCTGAGGCTCTGGGGAAGAATCTACCTCCCAACACATTCAGATTGTTGGCAGAATTCAGTTCTCTGTGATTGCAGGAATGAAGTCATCTGTTCCAGGCTACTAAGCAACTCTGAACTCCAAGAGGCTGCTCACAGTTTCCTGCCATGGGACTTCTTTTGGGTCTTTTTACAATATTGCAAGGAAAAGCAAGTTTCCTCATGTAGAGTTTTCTTCATACTTCAGATTTCCCTGCTTCTTCTTCTGCTGTGAGTTGGAGAAATTATCTGCTTTTAAAAGCTCCTAAAATTAAACTAGGCCCACTAATAATTTTTCCATCTTAAGGTCAACTGATTAGCAACTTTAATTACATCTGTAAAATCTTTTTATGCCATGTAATGTAAAAATAAGAATCACAGAATAAAAACAGGGGGCAGAGATCATATTCATAGTGTAGGATTAGGGTGAGAAATTTTTGGGGGGTCATCTTAGAATTTTGCCTTCCACAGTAATTACAGTCCAAGTAAATTCAATTCTACCTAAAAAAAAAATCTTCACAACTTTACACAATTCTAAGACAAATTTTTTGAATGATTGCCCAACATGCTAGATTTAAGGAAAATTTTAGTTTCTAGGACTACTGTCCGATAGACTTATTCAAGAACCAAAAAACTGCCTGTCAATTTCAAAAGGACCGTAGAATTCAACTAATTCTATCTCTCAAATCTGCAATCTTCAACTTCCCTTGGGTATATAATAATAATAATAGCTAAGAGCTTTTAATGATCTTGTGCCAGCCACTGTTCGCAGTGTTTTGTCTGATTTCACTCATG
Organism: Homo sapiens; assembly: GCF_000001405.40. Taxonomy (NCBI): domain Eukaryota; kingdom Metazoa; phylum Chordata; class Mammalia; order Primates; family Hominidae; genus Homo; species Homo sapiens. The sequence continues at coordinate 41,321,629 of NC_000011.10, forward strand.
TAGTCCCAGTAATGAGACCAGGGTAGATACCACTATTATCAAAATTAACATTATTTTATATGAGAAGAAAGTTAGGCCTAGAGAATTTGTCCAGGATCATCTACTTAGTAACTGGGAATAGCATCAGAATAACCAGCTATTCCCAGTTACGAGGTAGATGACCTTGGAAAAATTATAGCAAAGGAGTAGCCTGTGTGCATTCCCAAGCCCACATATCTAAACTGTTTATATTAAACTGTTTCTTTTTTTTTTCCAGATGGAATTTTATTCTTGTCGCCTGGGCTGGAGTGCAATGGCGTGATCTCAGTTCACTGCAACCTCCACCTCCCTGGTTCAAGCGATTCTCCTGCCTCAACCTCCTGAGTAGCTGGCATTACAGGCACCTGCCACCATGCCTGGCTAATTTTTCTATTTTTAGTAGAGATGGGGTTTTACCATGTTGGCCAGGCTGGTCTGGAACTCCTGGCCTCAGGTGATCTGCCCGCCTCAGCCTCCCAAAGTGCTGGGATTATAGGTGTGAGCCACCGTGCCTGGCCTTATGTTAAACTGTTTCTGTGAGGCAAGATTATGCAGTATTTCCCTTCATTCCACTTCTGATGAAAAAAAGTTCAAGATATCACAAGATATCTAGTATGATTTTTGGCATGTATAATTGTTACAAAAATTATTTTCCCTCACTTTGAACTTATAGTTTTTGAATACCACTAATTTGTATAGGTTTACCCTCTGCAAAATTGTAATGTTCTATCTTTATTTTTTTTTTCTCAACCCAGTTGTCCTTTAAGATTTTAAATCACCTATCAACATTCCCTTAAGCTTTTTATTCAGGCCAAATTTTCTCAGTAACTTCAATAGTTTCCCTGTGGAGAAAGCACCAAAACCTTTAGTAATATAAATGGTGTATAGTTAATCCTGAAAATATAATACCTATTTGTCTTCATTTATGTTTTGTTGTGTCCAATGCAACCCGAAATTATAATTCTTTAAAGATTTAAAAAAACATACGGGTGTCTATCACCATAGATCAGGTTACGCTGCAGTGTAACCACCCTCTGCCAAATCTCAGTCACTTAATACATTAAAGTGTATCTTTTTTGAGTTACCTATTCAGCGTAAGTGGGAAGAGGGCTCTGATCATCATAGTTACTCAGAAGGGAAAAGGTTCAGGAGGCACCATGTGAACACCTGCTTCCATGATTAATGGGACAGGTAGAAATAAGTGCAGCATAGTCTTGCACTGGTAGTTCAAACTTCCTCCTTGGATATGACACATATATACACACATGCACACACACACATTATTTATTCAAATGCATTAACCAAAGAACATTACATGGTCCTGGCTAACCACAAAGAGGGTCTGAGAAGCAGTCTTTTCATAATAACTGAAAGGAAGAAGAGAAATAAAATAACAAATATAAAGAAAGCAATATTATCTGACATCAGAATATGTCAGACAATATTTCAATACAAATACCTCTTTAATGATTTCCAAAGTGTGGAAAGTGTCCTGTTTACAAACATTTACATCCTATCATTATATTTCTTTTAATCTATTGCCCCCAGTGAGCTGAACACCCCCATTTATACCACTGAATGTTACATCAGTATTGATGACAGCCATACCACTGTATCCCTCTTAGTTACCTACCTGAGAAATCTACAAACTCAGATGCCTTTCAGATTGCTGTTCTCCAATCTTTTCCAAGAGAAATGATGAGAGATAGTTGAAATCAAGATAAAATAAATCTATACAAGTTTTCTGATTTAAAGACTATATTAAAGTTACAGGAAGAAAGGAAATGAGACAAGGAATCATCACACACTGCCTTACCACATATGCCATATTGCATTGTGATCAACACCAAGTGAAGAGAAAAGCAAACTTTTTCTGGGAATGACAGTTCCTTTCTTCCAAATCTGAAATACATTACAAAATCCACTTACAGGAAAATAGGATTTGCCGAATGTTACTCAGCCCTTCCCTACGCAGTCTGTTAGCAATATACCTAACTAAAATTGCAGGGAATCAATGAGCTTTCCATATGACACCACTCACATTGGCAGGACTGAAGCCCGTCTTACATCTGAGAGAATTACTATGGCTAGAACCTGGTGTATGACTCAAAAGAAAGATTTAAAAAGAAGTCTGGCTCTCTGATTAAGGAATAAAAATATAAATTTGGGAGATGGGTTTATATCTTAAAGGCAAATATCAAAGCAAGTATTGTATTTTTTAAATTATATTTTATATAAGGGGACTATTTCATTTTAATTAAATCTCTGAACCAATCACAACATAAAAAGCAAATAAAATACAGATTTCATTTTGATATTAAAAGTACTTAGATATTTTTGAATATTAAAATATTGTTTTTTAAACTGTGATCTGTGGACCACCTTTACCAGAATTGCCTGGAGAATTTGTTTAAAGTGCAGACCTCAAAGTCTCACCTTCAAATTACAACATCCCTAGGAAAGATGTCTTCATGCTAATGTTAAAAATATTATTTTAGGCAGGGCGCGGTAGGGTAGCTCATGCCTGTAATCCCAGCACTTTGGGAGGCTGACGCGGGAGGATCACCTGAGGTCAGGAGTTCAAGACCAGCCTGACCAACATGGAGAAACCCAGTCTCTACTAAAAATACAAAATCAGCTGGGTGTGGTGGCATGTGCCTGTAATCCCAGCTACTCAGGAGGAAGAGGCAAGAGAATTGCTTGAACCCGGGAGGCAGAAGTTGCGGTGAGCCAAGATCATGCCATTGCACTCCAGCTTGGGCAACAAGAGTGAAACTCCCTCTCAAAAAAATAAATAAATAAAAGTACTATTTTAGGAGGAAGAGGAGTTGAAACTATAGTAAAACAATTTTTAGAAACATGGGTATTATAGTGATAATAATCCTTCAGCGAATTTTTGTAAGGTTTGAATGACATCCTATCTGTAAAGCACTTACAATGGCACCATACAATCTCAATAAATGTTTAGGGCTTTCTAAAATGTTCTCCAGATGATTAGGACTGGTGTTCTGTTGCAAGACCCAAAATTGTCATAAAGCCTACTGTTGATGAGATGAAGAGACTCAGAGGCAGATATTTCATCAATTTTGTCAGGGATGTGGGGAAAATAAAAATGAAGCTTGAAGATTTCACTCAGAAGGAAGTAAGCTGTGTACACCTATGAATGCATCTTTTCTTGAATCTTCCCTGCTTCTTGTGCATTTCTTTTCTTGGAATGGATTTAGTAATATTTGGGGATTTTACACTTGTATCATATATTTAAAATAGAGTTTTGATTTCTCAATTTAAAAGCACATGCATAGTGTATAGTTTGAAAAATCATTTATGTAGCTTAGATAAATTTTTGTTAATGGTGATGTCTTAAGTTCATGTTGAGTGAAAACCATAACACAGTATGTTATATAACTGAAGCAAGGATTATTTTTTGCCTGGTTATAAGATTTAAAAAATATAATGTATACTGGGTGTTAAATTCCTCAAAAGAAATCACTTTTGCCTAAGAAGAGTGTTTTCCTTTCTTTTTTTAAAAACTGGGTAAAAGTGAGGGAAGAAATGGAGGAAGGCAAAAACATCATGCTTCATGCAAAATGTATATTAAGCTTGTGAATGATTCTTGACAAAATAAATACTTTAATCCACTTTTAAACACTTTTAAGGTGAGTTATTGAAAACTCACTTTTGTTAGAATCCAGTCTGTGCCATGACTATGCTTAGCTTTACTGGAAGTTGCTAAGGAATTCTAATTTCTATGCCTAAAATAAATATGTTCAATATTTCACTTTATTTGCAGTATTTCTTGAACTACTGTTATGTTTTAGGCATTGTCTCATTCTTAATTTATTATCCTATGGAATAGGGGTAATAACAATTGTCTCCCAAAACTATGTTTCACTTATAAGGAAAAATTATTGTCCTTATAGTTTTTTTTTTTTGTGTGTGTGTGTGTGTGTGTGTGTGTGTGTGTGTGTTAAAGACATATTTCGTTACCTCCACTACATTTTCATGCATTTTTAGATCTTCACTGCAAAAACAACAACAACAACAACAACAACAACAAAACAACAACAACAGCAAAAGATTCTGTTAGGAATGTTTAGTCAGAGCTCCAGATACAAAACGCAACTGTATGCCCAATTTTTAGTATATGCATTTTCTCACAAGCAGTTCATGGTTTTACTCAAACTTTTATAATGCTAGACCCTGGTGGCGATGAGAGGGGAGGATGGGAGGAGGAAGAGGAGCAGAAAAGATAACTATTAGGTACTGGGCTTAATACATGGGTGATGAAATAATAGGTACAACAACCCCTGTGACATGTGTTTACTTATGTAACAAACTGTGATGGTTAATATGGAGTGTCAACTTGATTGAATTGAAGGATGCAAAGCATTGTTCTTGGGTGTGTCTGTGAGGGTGTTGCCAAAGGAGATTAACATTTGAGTCAGTGGAATGGGAGAGGCAGACCCACCTCAATCTTGGTGGGCGCCATCTAATCAGCTGCCAGCACAGCTAGAATAAAGCAGGCAGAAGAAGATGAAAAGAGCAGACCTGATTTGCTTTCAGAAAGTCATCCTTCTCCATTGCTGGATACTTCGTGCCCTTGAACATTGGGCTCGAAGTTCTTCAGCATTTGGACTTTTGGACTTACACCAGTGGTTTGCCAGGGGCTCTCAGGCCTTTGGCTACAGACTGAAGGCTGCACTGTCAGCATCCCTAATTTTGAGGTTTTGGGACTCAAACTGTTTTCCTTGCTCCTCAGCTTGCAGACAGCCTATTGTGGGACTTCACCTTATGATCACGTGAGTCAATACTCCTAATTAAACCCCCTTCATATATACATCTATCCTATTAGTCTTGTCCCTCTTGAGAACCCTAATACACAAACCTTCACATGTGGCCCCAAAATGAAGATAAAAGTTAAAAATATAAAAAATTTAAAAATGCTTTGTGATTCACAAAAGTTAAGAATGAGTGATGTAGATCTGATATAGAAGTGTTTTTCCAAACAAAATTGGTTTTCTGCCATGATACACAGCAAGATACAGATTTTGCACTGTGATCCGCTATGTGAATGGGTGCACACACACAAAAGCAGAAGTTTCACAAAACAGTCCTAACATGTTGCAGTGCACTCTGATAAATTTCTATTGTATGTGTTAAGAAAAAGGGCTAACTCTGTCCTGCACAGTTTTGCATCTCAATACCTATAACTCCCGATACTCTATCACAATTAGAAGAAGCCTGGTAGGCAATATAGAAATCTCTTATATATCATGGCATTCCTGACATCATCACATTCTTGTAGATTACACTGTCAATCATAACATGTATCTAGGGCAAGAAACCTATTCCTTACAGTGGCTTTATTGATGAGCCGAGTCCAGTAACTATTTGTGAGCCTCAGAGGCCAAGTGGAGGCTGAGATACAGGAGACTGAGGATTTAATTGGGTCAAACGTGGTATAGCTCATTAAATCCCATTCTCTCTCTTTATATTTTAACATATTCTAGGGAGAAGGCAGCCCACCTTTTTCATGGTCTTGGTATCATAATTATTATTTTTAATTAAGAAAAGTTAAGGCTAATCTCCCTTGAGTTTCCAATTACAATGTAGTTGGTGTGTCGCCGTCTGTCAGAGAGCAGCGTGAGCCTTGGAGGAGCAGCCAGCAGCTTCCTGGTGGGACTGCAGCAGCCCTGAGAACAAATGCTGAAAACACAACTTTCTACCTTCCTTTGATATGTTAGTGTACCAATATGTGATTTATTTTTGTTTTATCCTTTACCATTTGTTTTTCTTTTCATCAATGAATTCAATTTGGCAGAAACCCAAGTGTACAAATAAACTTCCCCAATGTAGGAAACATAGATATTTAATATTAAATCTACTTCTACTACTCCAAATTATTTGCTATGCCTCAGGGCCTGAGCTAAGTGCTTTATGTTTGTGAACACCATCAGGAGGAATGTTAGTGATATGGTTTGGCTGTGTCCCCACCCAAATCTCATCTTGAATTGGAGCTCTCATGATCCCCACGTGTCATGGGAGGGACCCCGTGGGAGGTAATTGAATCATGGGGGCAGGTTTGTCTCGTGCTGTTCTCATGAAAGTGAATAAGTGTCATGAGATCTGATGGTTTTAAAAAGGGCGATTCCCCTGCACACACTCTCTTGCCTGCTGCTATGTAAGACGTATCTTTGCTCCTCCTTTTCACCTTCCACCATGATTGTGAGGGCTCCCCAGCCATGATGAAATGTGAGTCCATTAAACCTCTTTTCCTTTATAAATTACCCAGTCTCAGGTATTTCTTCATAACAGTATGAAAATGGACTAATACAATCAGTATTCATAAAGTCTTATTTTTCATGCTTCACCCTTTGTAGGCACCATGTCCTGGCCTCTCACAGGTAGTTCCCTGTGAATGTCTCTGGGAGGCCCTAGAGAATGTCTCCTGTGTGCACAGAAGCAAATAAATTGCTGCAGGTACCCCTACTACTCTGCCACATTGATATTATCTTTCCTGTGGGCTAACTTCCCCTTTTCTTGTTATCCCTCCAAGTATTACAATCTCTATAGGCATGTGTGGAAGAACACACTGCAAAGGCAGTAAAAATCACTTCAGTCCCTGCTGGAGGAGTGCTCCCCCTCCCAATACTTTCTTTGAGGTGTGTCCAAAAGGAGTGTTCTTTGTGCCTCACTGTCTAAAAAATTAGCAGAATCTTTGTTTTGAGTTTTATTTAGAATCCTGTCTCCCCTAGGTCCTCTCTGAGTGTGTATATGTGTGTGTGTGCGTGTCTGTGTGTGTGTATGTGTACCTAGCGTGGGTTAAGGGCATACTCCAGACAAAGCCACCACACTCCACCCAGGCCAACACTGCTCTGTCAACACGCTCCTTACTGAGTTGCTAATCTTTCTCTTCCCTTTTCTCAGGTAGCTTGAGTTAGTTCTCTTCGTAGGCATGACCCACTGACTCTACTGAACATAGCCATCTGTAGAACTCCCAACACTCTTTCAGATTATAGGGTGTTTTCTAACCACCAGCAAGCCTCCTATTTGAGGTTTTTCACAAGGGACTCTGCAGTCGTGACATAAAGGACATGTCTCTCTCAGATCTGTCTTCTTCCCCAGGTTGTCAAATGTTTCTGAGTACCTCTCAGACTCAAGCCAGGCTCTCATTTCATGGATATTTTCTCATGTAATCTTCTGAATCATCTTGTGGTTTGGACATTTTATCCTCATTTTAAGGTTGGGAAAACTGAGTCCCATAAGTTTCAAGTGACTTATCCAATGAAAATTCACACGTGAGTGTTAAGATGTGAATTGAGGTTTGCCTCCAAGCCCAAATGTGCTTTAAATATAATGCCCCATTTAATAAGACTGAAAAATAGTATGTGTTTCTGGAATAATAAAAGCAAACAAGCACTATTTGCTTTATTTCTTAAATGTCATTGGCCTATTTAACTTCTGGGTGCTTGGGGGAATATTTTCTTCAAGACTCATTGGTAACTCATGATAGAAAAGAATATGCTAACTTTCTAAATTATATTTGCTGTTTTCCCTAACTGGCTCTGTGACTCTGCCCCTTCCCTTAACAGCTGTACTTCTTGGCATTCTATTCATACTCCAAAGAATCTCAAATCTATATCCTCTGCTAAGATCTCCCTCCTGAGCTCAAGACCAAAATTTCTAGCTACCTAATAGGCATATCCATGTGGAGACACAGATGTGCATCAAATTTAATATGTTGAGGACTGTGCTTACTATCTCTTCTTTTTGCAATATGTTGCGTCCCATAGTACCAGATTTGATTAATGTCACCAGTCACTTAACTACAAAATGTAACCATGATCCAAACATCTCTAATCCTTCTTTTCCCTCAGCTTTCACTTCCAATCAGTCTCCACATTGTGGTGTTTTTCAAATATGTCTCCCTTTCTTTATATTCATGATTACTGCCTTAGTTTCAGTCTCTGATTCCTTACTCCTTGCGATTTCTTTTCCAAATTGGCATTTATAATAAAGCAAATCTAGTTACACCCATTCTCTCATTATGTCCACTTAAAGTTCTCAAAGGGTGCAATCCTACCCATTAATGTGAGTTTTGGAAATGTGGAGCTTTTTTGTTGTCATAGTGATGGCAGACTCTACTGACATTTAATGGGCAGGGCTGATAGAAGTTTCACAGTGCGTGGACAATTCCACATGAGGAGGAATTGTGCCAATGGTGCAGGACTCTAGAAAACCCACTGAACACTGAGCACGTGGAAAGCAGACATATCATTATCTAACACTGGACCTTCATTCTATTTTACATGAAAACATCAAATTGCACCCTGTACCTGAATTTTCCAGAAGGTTAATACCTGAGAGAAATAGAGAAAATCAAACTTTGTTGGTTTGGAACTTGGCCAAGAAGGGTTCACCATTTAGGCAAATTGTATCCATGCAATCATGCAGGCAGTACTGATGGAGTCACCAATGCAACACATCTGTATCAGTATGCATTTGCAACTGTTACATTCATGAGTCTGGGTAGAGGGAAGAGCTTCTTACTATTTACTTCCTTATTGTAACTGTGCAGGAGGATTTATATATTGAAATACATATCTTTTTTGTTACAAATTACCATCCCTCATTTGAATTCTCATTACTGTTGTGAGCACTATTTTGTTTTTTTCTTTTTTGTTTTGTTTTGTTTTAATTATCTGTGTCAATAGATTATATTATCAATGAGTCTAAATTGAAAACATTAAGGAAAGTGTTACAATTTTTCTTTAATTTAAATTGTTGAGTGGCTAGGGTTTAAAACTATTTACCCAATGTTGAATCTAATGTATCATGACATTAGATGCCGTCAACATGTGGTCCTCATTTACCTCCTTCACCCCTTCATATGAACACCCTGAATGTCTGCTCAGATGCAGATTGTTTTTTCTTCTTCCTTTGAGACAGGGTCTCCCAGTCTGTCGCCCAGACTGGAGTGTAGTGGTGCAATCTTGCTCACTGCAGCCTCGGCCACCTGGGCTCAAGCCATCCTCCCACCTCAGCCTCAGCCTTCCAAGTAACTGGAACTACAGTGTAGTTTTAATAAGATTTTTAGTATATATGCATACGTTTTATAAGATTATAAATACATATTAATATATACTTTTAATAAGATTATAAGTATATATGTACACTAGTCCCCAATCTTATCTTACAAGTATATATATACATTAGTCTCCAAACTTATTAAAACCCTCTGAAAGACAATAAATTTATATGTATATGTGTCTTATATGTCTTATATGCTTACTGTTCTCTTTGGCCTATGGCTCCGTCTGGTATTTGGCTGTTCCACATTCATTTTTCTTCCTAATGACAGCATGATTCCTCCTTGGATAAAATCTACTGGGATTATAGTAGGGAGCCTGGTACTTCCTTAGCTGAATAAGCAGAGGGTCCAACATAGTTCTACTGAAAATCTCTATCTTGAAGTCCTGAGCTGAAGAAAAAATAAACAAACACAAATCCAAAAATAATTACAGTTCATGCAATTCTCCCTCAGGCTCTGAACAAAATATGTCCATTATGAGATCCTTCTTTCCTTGAGTTATTCCTTCCTAGTCCTTCAGCATTGTCTTGCTTTTTACTCACTTTAAGCTTGTTCTTCAACTTTCTGCTGCTTCTGAGCACTTATATCCTTCCTAAAATTTTAATTAGTATCTACTCAGAAGTTATTGATTAAAGAAACCACACTTGGCATCTGCCACCGACAAAGAAACCTAACCAATACATGTAGATTTCATAGTTTTTAATGCATGCATGAAAGGATAAATGGAAAATCACGCCAAGTATTATTTTATTAAATGTGAGTATCCTGAAGCTCACTGAGAATAACTTGCCGCCTCCCTTCACTCACTCTGCTCCCAGCACAGTAGACATCTTGCTGTTTCTTAATACACCAATTTTATATCCAACTCAAGGCACTTGCTTTAGGTGTTTCCTCTGCCTGACAATCTTTTCACTTGGATCTTCTCATACTTTTATTCACTTCCATGGCTACAACATACAGTTGTGGGGTTTAGGCACTACACAAAGGCACTTGACAGTGAAGTCAAACGCAGGATGAAATACAGCCTAAATATTGGGCACTGACAAACGAACCCCAGGGTAGATCTACAACACAAAAAAGAAGGGACATCTTTGCTAACACACTTAAATGTACCACACGTGCTGATGGAACTATTAACTTTTGTTTGTTATCTTCTCAACATACTTCCAAAGACAGACCTTGCCTGACAGCCACTCTATCTAAAATTGCCTGCACTCCCATGATAACCCCTTATTTTTATTATTGTTCAAAGTACATATTACTTCTTAACCTTATATGTATTTGTTTGTTGTTTACTATGTAAAATGTAAAATCCATTCAATGAGAGACATTCTCCATCTTGTTCACTGCCATAACCCCGGGACTTAGAACAGTACCTTTCACAGAGTCGAAGCTTAGTAAATATTTATTGAATTGTATGTGTCATGTGGAATGAGGCATTTAGGATTAGAGCCCAAGTTACTAGATACCCAATTTGCCTCATTAAGCTTGATGAATAATTTCAGCAGTAATTAACAAACATATACAATTTTATAACAAGCACAAACTAGAGTTCATGTCAATTGTGTAAGCATGATACATTTAAATAATATAATACTTTAGGGTTTTTTTAAAAATAACTTTCTTCATAAGTGCCCAGCTACCACCACAAGCAAAGCAAAATCTGCAATGTGCAAGGTTTCCTAATGAAGCTCTAGGTAAGCATGCCTTTGCCACTCCAACTCTCTGAAGTTGTATATCAGGGGACCAAACCAACATATTGTGCCAGAAAGGAAACTCCTAAGAGCTTCAGCACTCGATACCGTTTGGAATGTTCAGACTAAAATACACTAAACTCTTTTCTTGCTTATGACATATTCCAACACACACACAAAAAGACTGTAGTAAAAAGTCTATTAATAATTATATTTCATAAGTTGTTTTATCCCATGAAGATGTTTTATCCTTCTTTTCAACAATGGTATCTTTCACTTGTGCGAACTTTTCTAATGTCTGATGGTTTGAACTTCGGTTCAGCATTCTATTAGCAACTTGGGGTTTGCCTCATTCTTGCATCTTTAGCAATTAACCTCAACACATTTTGGCAATTAGCAAATTTTGATTCTTCTAGTATATAAGGCATACTACATGAATAAAAAGTCCATCTCTGCTCAAAGTAGTGACTCAGAATAACTTCTTCCTATAAGCCTAGGTCTTGGGCTGAAACTATCTTTGAAATCAACAAAGCAACAGCTTCTCTTGTAAAAGTTTCTGAATTCAAGAGAAAAAAGAAGACAAAATTATGTTCATTTAAAAAAACAATGCAGATGTCTTATTCTGTTTTTGAAGGGGAAACACTTGAAAGAAGAAAACTATTACTAAGAATTGCAAATTAAGGTATTTTATACAGAAAAAGCCAAGCTAAGCAAATGAGGATGTTTCTTTGTATTAAAAGAAAAATATTTTCTCTAAATGCTTTGTAATTGAAGAATCAAGGCATAATGTCTATTATTTTGTAATGCATCAGTCAAAATAAATTTCAAAGTAGAACACTTAGCTAAGAGGTCTTGATCTTTTTCTCCCTTAATCATACTGCATACTCAGTTTTATATTATTTTATTCTAGAATGAACTAGAATATCAGTGAAATCATTAAAAGATCAATAATAAGGCTTTCAAAATAACATGTACAGTTAGCTTTACATATTTGCGTATTTTAGGAATTATTCATCAGATAAATTCCATCTGGCTCAAGTTTCAAGACCAGACATTCATTTATGTAATTTATGCAGGGATATGTGACCAGCAATAATAGACATTCAAACTAAAATTCAAGAGTATGGAATTATTCAAAAGCCCTCCTCCCTTTAAATATGTAGGTACTTGCTGACTGCCCTTAACAGCTTTACCTTGTCTATTAGTGGCATTAAAGCAAGTGAGCTAAATGGCCTTTTATTCAGTGATATTTTTGCAGGTGAATTAATGCTACTTTTCTCAGCATGGGTAGTAAAATCTGGCTATTTTACATGTTTTATTTTGCAGCCTGAAAATTTATTTTTACACATCATCATTAATCTGCTTTTCTTTGGTTGGTAGCATGCAGTTGGTTGCAAATGCTAATTAGAAATATTAATCTTATGTGTCAATCTATAACAATAAGCAAGCAGAGAAACATTTGTTTAAAAAGTTCATTATTATTATTTGAGTTCTCCCCCAACCCCTACTTCTGTATTTCAACTATAATTATCTCAGAGGGTTGTTTTCTAGAAAATTTCACATCTGGCTATCTCTCCAAACCTCATAAAAATGTTACTCCCTCTGGCTTATTTAGCCAATCATGAGGTGTAAGGACACACAGCCTAGATGTGCAGCTAGAAGGTTATCGTAAGAGGCGTGGAATAGGAACCAGAGAGAAGCCTCTAGAAAACTTGAGCACTTCTCCAAACTCTAAGTACTGTTTTTGCTCATTTCATAGCATAGTATATATAGTTCTGTGTTACAAAACTTGCAGTTGGCTGGCTTTGCAGAAAGGTTTGTACCTCTTTGAACTCGTCAGTTCAAGAAGATTTCCTAATACCTTTTTGGCAACCAGCAGCCTTTACCTGTGTTTTCTATTCCAGTCAGTGTTTTTTCATTCCCACACTTGTTTCAGGTTTAAAACTGAAGCTATTTTAGGTTTTTCCTTCTCCTTTACTCTCTATTTTCAAACGCTGGGCACATCCTTTAAAATTGATGACTAACTGATTAAGTACTTGATTTTCTAGCACCTGGCAGGTGTTAGATGTCTGGTACTTATTGGGGGCAATTATAACACTAAGATTTTCCTTCTTCAAGAGGCCAGGCATGGTGGCTCATGCTTGTCATTCAGGCACTTTGAGAGGCTGAAGTCAGGGATCACTTGAGGCCAGGAATTTGAAAACAGTCCGGGTAAAAAGTGAGACCCTCTCTCTGCAAATATTAAAATAAATAATTTTTTTAAAAAAACAATAGTCGGGTGTGATGGTGCATTCCTGCAGTCCCAGGTACTCCAGAGACTGAGGTGGCAGGGTTGCTTGAGCCCAGGAGTTTGAAGGTGCAGTGAGCTATGCACTCATTCCACTGCACTGCAGCCTGGGTGACAGAGAAAGACCATGTCTCCAAAGAACGAAACAAACAAACAAACAAACAAACAAACAAACAAAAAACCACATACACACAAGAGTTTCTTTCCTGTCAGAGGATCTTACTCAGTGACTCCCCACTTAAATGCAAATTTTTCAATCTAATTCTCAGGCCATCAGTTTTCAGTCTGGTCCCAATCTAGTCTGTCTTCAATACTATACTCCACCACCTGGTAACACCTCCAAACACCTAACATCCAGTTATACCAATCTATTCAAAATCTTCAAATGCAGCCACACCAAGTGAGTATCTCTGTTTATTTTTGCCCCATCACTTATTGATAACTGATTCCAAACATGTTTATTAGGACCTAATACATATTAAGCATAGTGCTTGGAATATAAAGATAAGTCAGACATGGTCTCTGTCCTTAGAAATTCCATTTCATTGGTAAAAGCAGACCAGTAAACTAAAAATATTAGAGTAGTAAATGTGTGGAGGGTATATGAATAGAGTTTAAGGGAAAGAATTTCAACTTTCATTCCTTCCTACCAAAATGTTACCCACCATTCACATCCAGATTGAAAGCTTATGACTCCATGAAACTGTAAGATGTCAAAAATACTACCTGTCCATCTTTATTCTCTGCTTACTGAGCTTTAATTTTTTTGTAACATTAACCATTGCCTGAAATTGTTTAATGCATTTTTTATTGTGTGCTTCTTCCATAGAGGGTAGAATTTCTAAGGGCAGAAATTCTATATTTACATGTTTATTCATTCCTGTTTTCAATGAGTACTTACTAATTGCCTATCATATATTTCTCACGTTATGTCCAGCACCTGCACCAATAATAGATCTTGACTCATAATAGGTCTGCAGTAAATGTTTGTATAGCAAATGAATGAATATATAAGTAAATGAAACTTCCCAGATGCATTACAATCTCCCTCTCCTCCGTTCTCCCATTGATCTTTGTTTCTCTTCTCCAAGCTTCTTTTTGGTATTGTATTTTATTTAAATTTGCACAAGTATGTCACACCACTAAATTATCAGCCCTAGAGGAAAGGGAGCATGGCATCCATATTTGTATTCCCACACAGTGTCTAGCTAATTGTAGACACTTTAACGATTGAAATGAATGGCCAGGCATGGGAAACAGAAATTTAGACCCATTTATTTATGGAGCAAAGGTAGTCTATTTCTTATATTTGAGTGTCTGTATTTTCCTATCTGGCATCCCTCAGGCTTTGCCACTGAGCCCTTTGTGCCTTGTGCAAACATGACTATACAAATTAGTTTAGATGAAGTCTTTCCTGAAGCAAATCCAACACATAAAACTCAGAATTCATTGAAGAGAGAAAATTTAATGAGTTTTTAAAAGATTTACCCTAAAAGATGATTCACTATGAATTATAGACTTTCCTTTTTTTTTAAAAAAAAAAGTAAGGTCTTCCTGTACTATAATCAAAGTAAGTATTAATCTACAACAATGAAAAGGTTAGAATTTTTACACAGATTTTAAGAACACATAATTGTTTAAAAAAAAGTGTATATGCAAACCCTTCTCCTTCAATCTCAGTCTCCTCAAGAATCTTCAGTGGGAAAAAAAAATAAAAGGTGGGGAAAAAAAAAAATATCGGGGGCCATAAACTACCACCAAAATGTCAAGTATAGTAGAAAGAAGCAAACTAGTTTTACCAATGAATTTACAAGTAAGTGTGGATGTTTTGCATTGTTTGGGGATTTCTGCACTGGTCCTCTATCCACTTTTCATTCACCCTTCCTACTGTGTAGCTATCAGAAGACTGAACAAAGAGGCTTTTAATAGTGAAGGAAATGTGAAAGTCCTCTTCATTTAAGGGAAGTGAAATTAAAGTCCCCAGCTTCATGTCTTCCCTCCTTTTGGCCTTGCCATGGCTGGTCCTGATCTTCAGAGGTATAGGACAAGCAAGAAGGTGCTGGCACCAACCCCAAATGAGAGAGGTTACTAGCATTTACTCAACATGACTTTTATGTTGGGATCCATGCTAGTCCTTGCATGGACACCATCTCATTTAATCCTTAAAATAGTTTAATGCAATAAACACATCAGACACAGAGAAACAGAGGCATGGAATGAACAAAGGAAACTAAGACATAAAAAGGAGAAAAAAATGACTATTCATAGCAGCAGAAGAGGAATGTACACTACCAGAAACAAGCCTCATAAAAAATTAACATTAAATTCTTTTTCTTTTTTTTTTGAAATAGGGTCTTGCTTTGTCACCCAAGCTAGAGTTCAGCAGCATGATCACCACTCACTGAAGCCTCCAACTCCTGGGCTCAAGCATTGCTTCTGACTCAGCCTTCCAAGTAGCTGGCACCACAGGTATGTGCTACCATGCCCAGCGAACTAAAAACAAAAAATTAAGAGATAGGATCTTGCTATGTTGTCCAGGCTGGTCTTGAACTCCTGGCCTCAAGGAATACTCCTGCCCTGACCTCTCATAGTGTTGAGATTACAGGTGTAAGCCACTGCACCTGGAAAAAATTAAATCTTAAAGACAAACAAAACTTAACTGATTAGCATCTAAATGCTTGGCATTCTTCAGCAAACCTGACAAAAACAAGCAATGTAGAAAGGATTCTCTTTTTAATAAATGGTGCTGGGAAAACTGGCTATCCATATGCAGAAAACTGAAATTGGACCCCTCCCTTACACCTTATAAAAATTAACTCAAGATGGATTAAAAACTTAAATGTAAAACCCCAAATCATAAAAACCTTAGAAGAAAACCTAGGCAATACCATTCAGGACATAGGCATGGGCAAGGGTTTCATTATGAAAAGGCCAAAAGCAATTGTAACAGAAGCTAAAATTAAAAAATGAGATCTGATTAAACTAAAGAGCTTCTGCACAGAAAGAGAAACTATCATCAGAGTGAACCAGCAACCTACAGAATGGGAGAAAATTTTACAATTTATCCATCTGACAAAGGTCTAATATTCAGAATTTAGAAGGAACTTAAACAAATGCACAAGAAAAAAACAAACAACCCCATCAAAAAATGGGCAAAGTATATGAACAGACACTTCTCAAAAGAAGACATTTATGCAGCCAACAAACATGAAAAAAAGCTCAACATGACTGATCATTAGAGAAATGCAAATCAAAACCACAATGAGATACCATCCCATCCCAATCACAATGGCGATTATTAAAACATGAAGAAACAACAGATGCTGTTGAGGCTGTGGAGAAATGGGAAAGCTTTTACACTGTTGGTAGGTTAAATGGTTAAATTAATTCAACCATTGTGGAGACAGTGTGTTGATTCCTCTAGGAGCTAGAACCAGAAATACAATTTGACCCAGCAAGAAATCCCATTACTGGGTATATACCCAGAGGAATACAAATCATTCTACTATAAAGATACATGCACACATATGTTTATCGCAGCACTATTTACAATAGTAAAGACATGGAACCAACCCACATGCCTATCAATGACAGGCTGGATAAAGAAAATGTGGTACATATACACCACAGAATAGAATGTAGCCATAAAGAGAAATGAGATCATGTCCCTTGCAGGGACATGGATGAAGCTGGAAGCCATCATCCTCAGAAAATTAACACAGGAACAGAAAATCAAACCCCTCATGTTCTCCCTCAGATGTGGGAGCTGAACAGTGAGAACACATGGACACAGGGAGGGAAATAACACACACTGGGGCCTGTCGGGAGGTGGTGAGGAGGGAGAGCATCAGGACAAATAGCTAACACATATGGTGCTTAAAATCTAGATGACGGGTTGATAGATGGAGCAAACCACCATGGCGCATGTATGCCTATGTAACACGCCTGCATGTTCTGTACACGTATCTCTGACCTTAAAGTAAAATAAAAATAAAAATTAAAATTAAAAAATAAATGCTTGGCATTGTATTGAGCATTTCAAATACAAAATAGAAAAAGCAAACAAGCAATTTGTTTGTAGTAAGATGGATGAAAATCTGAGTTCCTACTCTCTAAAAAAAAATCTAATGACCTCCGGCACATTGTTTAACAACAGATTCCATAGATTCAGATTTTTTTCTGTAATATTGACATGGAAATGTCCCCTCCAGAGCTTGCTACTAGAATAAAATAAAATAAAATGAAATACGAATAATACAACTAAAAGAGTAACACATAGAAAATGCTGAACAAATTGGGCTGTTAGGAAGCTTCTGGTAGATTATTATGTTTGAAAGATGCATCATGGTTCTAAATGACAAAGGCATCTATTTATTTTATAGAAATACTAGATTCACAATGCTATCAAACATAGGGAAAGTATAGAAACTACTTCATTGGTCTTCACTTTATGATATTGCTAGATGCTACAGAGGTAAAATATTAGAGGCACAATGAAGATGATAACTTAAACTTTCATATATCTTTACTTTTACCAAGATTCTACCTAAATAAATAGCCCTGCCCTTGAATAAGTCATTAGATTGGAAGAATTCACAAGGAATCACAGATTATTATTTAATGAATTCCTTTGCTTTTGGATAGGCACTGTATATATCAACTATATCCCTGAAGACATAACTTTCATGTAACTCTTAGTAAGCTTTGTCTATGACTAAACCAGCAATAGGCCAAATGAAATGCAAAGGTCATTTGCAGATTTTCACACCAATACAACAGAAACTTTTAGAAGCTAGAAACTAGCAGGAAAAAAAACATCCCTCTCCTGTCTAATAGGAGTCATTTCTTCAGCACCCTCTGCCCAGTTTAATTTCCATGGGAACAGGGGGTGAGACGGAGATCTTAAAATGCTACCATGACTCAAACGCATTTAAAAAAATTACATCCAATTTATTTTTTAAGCAATACATGTTCCTAACAGTTTGAGCTAATCAAATATATTTTGCACTTGGAGTAATGGTTATATAGGCTATTTTACCAGAATATGTTCATCTCTCTTCCCTACAGAAATCTTGAGTACAAAATCTATGCCTCAGAATTTTTACAGATAACATCAGAAGATATCCAAAAATCAAGAGTATTTCCTATTTATTGAGTCATATTTCAACAAAGTTACCTGCTAGTCTCCAGCCTCAGTGAAGGTCAAACAAATGGGTTTTAACTCAGAAAAAGGCAAAATCCTGAGGGAAGACTAAATATATGTGAAGGGCTCCAGAACTTTATGAAATATTTCCTAAATATTTGTTAATAAAAGAAAAAGTTTAGAAGAGGAAGGTAATTATTGTAGTCAGTGTTTTGTATGGGCTACATTATCTTTTTTAATTCTCGTATTAATCCTATGAAGTAAGTTTCGCTCATCTTTTTTACAGAATGAGAACACAGAGGACGAAAGAATTGACTGGCTTTCCCAACCCTATAAAAATAATTTATTAGAGGCAAAGCAGAGATTTTGATTTTTGTGTGGTTTTTCTTTTAAAAAATTCTACATAAAGAAATAGGATTGCTCATTATTAAATCTTGAGATTAGAAGAATTAACAAGCTAAATCTTATGTATTTCAATTTTCCTTTTTGTAGCATTTTGCAAAACTTGGACTAAATTTTCATGAGAGTATATGGGGCATAAGGCACCCTGAATCTCCAGGACTTTAATCACAAATAAAGTCTTAATCGGAAGTTAAATTTGGGATCTAGTTTCAACTCTGCATTACTCTTGGTTAGGGAACCTTATGTGTAGCCCTCTTGGTTAAACTAATAGATTAGTAAAAGAGGAGACTAATTTAGATGAGGAAGTGGTGGGCTATAGCATTTATGTGTTTGGGGCCCTTATCCAAAGAAACTCAGAGACCTAGGATCATATCTTCCTCTGCCAGTTATTGGTAATGGAGCCTAAGAAAAGTTACTTAGAGTCTATTTGTCTCAGTTTTCTCCTTTAGAAAATAAAGATGGCAATAAAGATGGAGCTTATAGCATTGTTGTGGAGATTAAATGAGAAAATTTAAGTGTTATAAGGAGAGTACTTCACACATGGTGTGCACTTACTAAATACTAGCCAATATTATTAGATAGATTTGATTCTAAAACCTATTTCAATTCTGGGATTTTTGCAAGTCGAAACTGTGCAATTCATTGTGGTTGAGGATTCCAGAAGAAAGGCAATCTAGTAACTTTGAGGCTGTGATTGCGTCTGCCTCTCAATTAACCTCCCTGTTTTCAGTGGATGTCTTGGGAGGAGTGCTTGCACGAAGAAGAAATAAATGGGAAGGTAGAGAGAGAAAAGGTTAGCAAACAAAGTAAAAGAAGCAGCTTTACCTATATGTGAAAGTGATGATGTTGTCCTGTAACAAGGACTGAAGGCAATCTAGGTATGAAAGTAATAGTGTGTTAGGTGAGGATGTTACTTAAGAAAACAAGTACCAGAGAAAAAGACTGATAGCTCTCTTTAGTGAACTTAGAATGACCTAGTTCTTTGAGAGAAAATTTAAAATATACTGTAAGTGTTTTCGATTAAAAAAACTAAAAAATAGATCATCAGAGACTCATCTGAGAGAAGAAGAATAAAATGACTTCTTTCCTTATCATCATTCTCTGGGCGAGGTTCTGCCGGTTGCATATTGTCTCAGCACCTGAGTATTGCCCTTCATACTTCACCAATTGTAGTAATTTAATGACTGTTTTCTACATTTTTTTCCAGAATAATGTAAATTCCTTCAAGATAAGAACCATGCCTGCTTTTCCCCCCATTAGTTGGAATCAATGGAGTTTTCATTTACTAACCACTTTCCCTAAAAGTGTGTCATGTTAAAAATAGCATCAGTTCTCAGTTATCTACCTTATGAAGAAGCTCACAGGCAGAATCAACAAAAGACCATGTAAATAAAGTTTCTGCTCATCTTTCCAAGCATGAGGCTAAAGAATGCAAGCCCCAATTATAATAGCATTTCAGTGAAAAAATACAATTTACTTTACAGAAATCCACTTTGCAACATAGTTTCAGGTAAACCATGCCCGAAGTGAAGATTCTGGCCATAATCTCTATCTTCTCAGCAGAGATATTTTCCTACTAGTAAATAAATATAGCTCTGTTGTCTTTGGCTTTGACCAGGTAACTCACGTTTTGATTAGAAACTTACCATAATAAAAGGCATTGATAATCTGGTTATTGATAGTTAAGAATTGACTGTATGTTATCTATAATATCTGGGACATAGAGAGTCATCTTGACCTAACTTTTCATGAACCTCACCCCTGGTTTCTCAAAGTCACATTCCAAAAACATTTTTGAATAGGTGAGGCATTGAAGCCTTGTATCTTCTTAAAACAACACAGTTACTATTAATATTAACACAGTTACCTCCACTATTACTGACCATTGGCTCCATGAGTGACAACACTGCCTAAAATATTAACAGTTATTACACAACTATACACTCTGCTGTTGTTTTCCTAGACTATCTTAGTTCAGACAGGTCTATTATGCTATTAGGTCATTAATCATGTGGTGGCACCACATATACAGAATTCAGTATTGAAAGGTGGTATCCCTAGCAATATTTTAGTTTTGGTTTTCTGCTCTCCACATAGAGGCTTTCTAACCTCTTCCTGGAATTATTTAGAAATGACCCTCAACTAAAGTTAAATCAAAAACTCATTTACATCTGGGCACGGTGGCTCTCACCCATAATCATAGCATTTTGGGAGGCTGAGGGGGGTGGACCACTTGAGGTCAGGGGTTTGAGACCAGCCTGATCAACATGGCAAAACCCCGTGTCTACTAAAAATACAAACATTAGCCGGGTGTGGTGGTGTGCGCCTGTAATTCCAGATACTCAGGAGGCTTAGGTAGGAGAATCCTTTGAACCCTGGAGGCAGAGGTTTCAGTGAGCCGAGATTGTGCCACTGAACTCCAGCCTGGGCAACAGAGCGAGACTCCATCTCAAAAACAAACAAATATACAAACAAACAAAAAACTCACTTACAGTGTATTTTGTCATAAACAAGCCTCACCCCATTTGGGTTAGTTTCCAAGGGCTGCTGTAAAAAAGTACCACAGAGTTGGTGACTTAAAATAACAGTAACGTATTCTCTCAAAGTTCTGGAGGCCAGAAGTTCAAATCAAAGTGCTGGGAGGATTACACTAACTTTCAAGTCTCTATATGAGGACTTTTCCTTGCCTCTGCAAATTTCTGGTGGTGACAACCTTTCCTTGTGTTAACATAACTCCAGTCTCTACCTTTGTCTTCAAATTGCCCTTTTCTCTATGTATTTCTCTTGTTCTCTCACTTCTCACTGGATTTAGGGCCCACCCAGTTAATCCAAGATGATCTCATCACAAGATTTTTCACTTACTTATATCTGTATAAAACCTTTTTCTAAGATGGTCACATTCATAGATCCCAGGAGTTAGGAAGTTGGACATATCTTTTTGGGGACCACAATTCAACCCACAGTACCAATGATGAACCAAATGTAGATGCATATTTGCCTAACATCTGCAAACATCTCTGCATCAAGTTACCTGATAACAGTGAAGTGAGTGGTGATTCAACTGATTCTTATTGGAAGGGAAGAGCAAGGGATGATTAAAGAGAAAACAAAACAAAACAAAACAAAACAGTAGCCACTGAAAAATGTCCTTCCTTACCAAAATTTACTGTTCGAATATTTTCCGGGCCATGTATGCATGCTGAAATGATGAGTTTTAAGTGAAATTCGATTATCTTTGGATATAATTCCAATATACTTAAAGCAATGAAGACCTTGGCTTCTTATAGATAGGTTAATCAGGAAATGAAGAAAGAGTCTTCCAACAAATATGCTTAGTCTTGTGTTTTAAAAGATATGCTGGTCCAACCCAGTAGGAAAAATGAAACCTTCCAAGGAGAATATTTACAGTGCAGCTTGAATACAGTTTTATTCCACTTACTAATGCACATTAATAAAATCACATATTTATTTTTCATGTATTGTAATGAATTTTGGTGTTTTTATGATATGGAATGTTTTTCCAGGAAAGAAGTCCCTATTTATAACAAAGTATTTAAGAAATAAGTCAATTGTTATCCCAAAACCAATTAGATAATAAATTTTGAGGTACTTATGCTTCTCTCTAATTAGCATATCATATTTACTTTGAATCTTATTAAAACAAAATGTAAAACTTTCCGCTAATCAGAGCACATAACTTCTTAAATTTTTAGCACATTTAATAGTCATTCTGCTGCTTCCAGAGCCTTCCATTATCTGAGCAAACAAAATGTTCTCCTCTGATGTGCAACAAATGCCTTTGATTCGTTTTGATGATTGTGTCGTTCACTTGCACACCAAGCCCTAGATCAGAAGTGTTTCCTCTGCCTTGAGAGAACATCCCCATTCCCCATGTCTTCCGCTTCCAGAGCCCAGTGATTTTCCCAATACCAATTCACTCTTTGCTCCTCTGTGAAGCCTTTCTTTTTTTTTTTTTTTTTTGCGATGGAGTCTTGCTCTGTCACCCAGGCTGGAGTGCAGTGGTGCAGTCTCTGCTCGCTGCAACCTCCCGGGTTCATGCCATTCTCCTGCTTCAGCCTCCCGAGTAGCTGGGAGTACAGGCGCCCGCCACCACGCCTGGCTAATTTTTTGTATTTTTAGTAGAGACGGTGTTTCACCGTGTTAGCCAGGATGGTCTCGATCTCCTGACCTCGTGATCCGCCCGCCTCGGCCTCCCAAAGTGCTGGGATTACAGGCGTGAGCCACCGCGCCCGGCCAAAGCCTTTCTATCTTAACTCATCAATGTGTTTCCATTATTTTCCATTTTTATAGTGCCTGTGGTTGGTTTTGACTAAAACAAAACAAACAATAACAAGCATATTGTTCATCTGCTTTATGCAAGGGATAGCCCATAGCACACACATGGACAAGATTATTTAAGATTTTGTCTTCTCAGCTAGATTGAATGCTCCTGAGAAGCTAGAAGCATATCTTAAATTTCTATGTTTTCACATTGAACAGCACTGAATAAAAATGGTTCAATAAATACTGGCTATTTAATCCAAAATGGGTAAGTGGTTAATTGAACACGTTCAATTGAAAATTAAATTGTATGTTTGGAAACCAAGAGCAAGTGGAGGGGAGGAATATTTTAGACACAATTAACTGCTGCCTCTGATAGTCGTTGCATTGGAAGTTTTGCAGCAACTTAAACTAAGAATCATTATTAACTGTTTTTTTTTCCCCTGTTTCCTGGGGAACTATTGACTATTAACCCATGATGGTTTGTGTATTCCTCTCAACCCAGAAATATAATTTTTCTTAAACAAAGCAGAGGCCACTGGACAATAGTTATGATGAAAATTCTGGTGAAATAAGCTATGTTTTCATGAAAAGATGGCTGATTTGACAGTTGTACTTGGTTTTACCTCTTTCTCTTTTTAACTAAATTTTGGAGAGCCAAGTAGGAAATTTGACGGTCCTATTAATTACTATATCCCTACACTTGAAGACAATTTATGACACACACTCATCTCTGACTCAGAGAGGGAAAAATGGAAGAAGATTGGTAGCAGAGGTGAAGGTTAATTATCTTTGTCGATATGTATTCTGTACTGTATTTTAAAAAATAAAACAAAATGTATTCCGCCATGGTCTTTAGGATGCTAATTGATAAATGAATATTCAAAGGTTAACAAAATAGAAATCTTACCATTATGGTGATCATAGTTTGTAGGATCCAGTCTAAACTGCCAGTATTATTAGGCTGGGCTACAACAACTGCCTCTAATTTGTTTCCTGGTTTTCTCTTTTGATTTCCCATAGCCTATTATCTATAAAGAAGTTAGAAATATTTTTTAAGAATCAAAATAGGTAAAATCATTTGACCCTTTAAACCAACCAATGGTCTTGCCATTTGCAGTGGTTCTTCATTCTAAAGTAGGTATCATGACCTAGGAGTTCCCATCGGATCCAGCCCCTACAGATTTCTCTCACCTCCTTCAGAGTCTCCGCACTAGATACGATAGAAGCAGAGTCACAGAGAAGTTTGCACTCCAGGTAAAAAGACTGAAAAAAAGCTAGCTTCCTGATGAATTCTATAATACCTAGATGTTTCAGAAAGGTATTTGTAAAATAAACCATATCAAATACATGTTTAAATAAAAACATTGAATTAAAAAATGAAGAGTGAGCTTAAGGTCACTCTGATGGCCATAGCCTATACATATGTTTTTCCAGAATTTGTAGGGGTGACAAACTAAGTATTCTAAGGAACACATGGATAGAAGGAGGATTCTGGGTGTTTCTATACATATTCATTACACCCTCTAATTTATTACCATGTTTACCACCAAAATTTCAGAACAAATTATATTCTATATCAGGCCCCAAGGGAGTTTTCATCTTCCTGGCTTGGCCAAGCACCAAAACAAAGCACATTAAAGAGAGGAATCGCAGTGTCAGTCGTTAATATTTAAAGTGATGTAGAAGGTGGTGCTCCTTAAAATGCAAACTGCTCACCCTTTGGATGAAAAATTAAATCCATTCTACTCATTCTGCACTTGTAATCAGACACCCTGTGAAGACAGCAGACACATTTCTCCCTGAAGAAGCAATAAATAAACAAACATAAAAAAATTATCTAACTATGAATTCTCACTAAGATGATTCCTCCTACCATTCACTCCTCCAGCAGAAAAATAACAAAATAGACTTCTACCTGGTCCCATTTTCTGTTTTAACTTCAGTGAGATTAGATTGGGATACATTTAAAAAATGATGATATCCTAAAATGGGTTTTCCTTGAAAAATTATCAAACCAATACTATTGTAAACATGTTTTTCAGAGTACTAATTGTATAAGATATCCTAGAAGAAAAACATAATTCTGTAGTCAAAAAGTCTGCAAAATACTGCAAATGCACTCCCCTATTAGAATTTCACAAGGCATCTTAGCTTTCAAAAGGTTCCAAAAAGTTCCGCATTATTGAGTGCTACTCAATTTTGTTTAACATAGCATTCCAAACTTGGCTGGATGTGGTACTCTTATTCATCTTATACTGATTGACAACTAAAGTACCAACTGGGACACCAAATTAAAAACAAATTAAAAAGGGGCCATGTGGGCTAAAAGTTCACAGTAAATTATTAATCAATTGCTCTCAAGTTCAAAATCCAGAATTTATAGTAAATGCCAGGCAATATGTCATGGTGCATGCAAATATTTAAAATGCAGATGATTCTATTCTTGCCTTGAGGATTATACAATTCATATAGCACAGGAAAACTAAAAGAGGTTTGATTTTAATTAATTTGAAATGTATACATGCCCATTACTCAAAGGAAAGAAACCATATGTATCTACAAGGAAAGTTTATTTACACCTTACCTTCCACACGTTATGGTAGTACACATGGCATTGCAGGGTCCATCAGAGGAAACTCTCTGGCTGAAACGCTTGAGTTATAGCACAGGAGGATCTATATTCACCCTTTCATAATGAATAGATTTTTAAAATTGCATTTTCTCTGCCTTAATACCCTGCCTCTAGTATACTTACTGAACTATAGTGTTCATTTGCTAAGTTAATACAGGCATTTAAGGAGAGCTTTAGTTTTCAAGAGCTAAGGCAGGGGAGTGAATGGATGTCACACTCAGTGCACACACAGTGGTCTTATGGCATCCCTGACTCTCTAGGGTACAAATACCACTTGATCATGTGCTTCAAAAAGAAAGAAGGCTGCAGATGTTAAATTTTCAAATTTCAAGGGTGAATTGCTTTTTTTAAAATACAAAATTTCAGAGAACTTTGTAGATATCATTTCTTCATGGATGGAATCGATTTCTATCAATATACAAAGGTAGTAAGTACAGAAAGTAAATATTATTTGATTGTACAAATGAGATAAAAATATTTTTAAAATGCAGAGTTACATAAAGATGTTGATAAAAATGACCTTTAAAACGTGTTGCATAAAGTTGCCCCAGGCAGCCAATGTGGTGAGCAGTGAGAGTTTATCTCCTATCCACATTTCAGAGACAGTCTCTCAGCTTTATAATATTTGCAATATCTTGGAATCACATAAGATTGCATAGGTAACTTAAAAAAGGTTCTGATTACGCTAAAATGCTTCCGAACCACCGGTACTAATTATTTACAGATGATGAAAATGAAGCCAAGGAAAATGAAGTGTTCTTCCCAAGGACATAAGAGTAGCTTATGGGATTGTAGGGTGATTTGGTCATGGCATCTATCATTCTGTTGATCATTGTCTGACTATATAAACCTTCATCATTTACATAAGTATCTACAAAATCTTCCCTAATGACAGAACGAAAACTGTAACTCTTATCTCTCTTGAATTTCAAGCCTATGAGTTGTTTTCTACTACTTCCTACCTAAGCTATTGAGAGATTTCTCAGCAGTGACAAAGGAATTCTGTAAGGCATTAGTGAAGGCACACCGTTTTCTCTTACTGCTTCTAGGTAAATGTCTATTGTGCCATCACAATGTGTTTATAAAATAACTCCATTCCATAAAACATAGCCAAAACTCAATTCATGGTGGTCAGAAGTCAAAAACTGAAATAAAAAGTGTTGCTGTCTTCCTGGAATTCAGAAAGGTAAGGAGCTCTGCATTTAAAAAATAATAAAATAAAAACACAAAAAATAGAGTTGTGCTGTCTACCAGAGATTTAATATAATCCTGCTTTTTCAACTAATTCCATGTAGGAAAAGCAAAGACCTTTGAAAATTAACATGACATGAATTGAATAAGAAAGAAAGAGTGTTGCCCTCGGGCGTGAAGCCAAGATGGCCGACTAGATACAGCCAGGAAGAGCGTCTCCCAGCAGAAGACCAGACTATGGAGAAGACTGTTACACCCTGAACATATTCTCCTAAAGAAGTCATTGAGAATGGATGGAGGGAGGAGGCAGAGCCTGAGCTAAAAGGGAAGAAAGCTGGAAACTCTGCACAAAGTTGCCAAGCACTAGGAATCCTTTCTGGCCCTGAGTGGCTCCTGGGGAAGGGGTCAACGAAATAGGCATGGAGTGGCCCACTATTACCACAGACCTCCAAAATTCTAGCTGCAGGAGACTGGACAACCCCCACATACATCTGAGCTAGCAGGGAGAACTTCCCAGATAGTTAGCAGAGACAGAACTCCAGTCTGCGTGGAGCCCAGAGGCTTTGACACAGGAACAGCTGCAGTGGAGCACAGCCACGGGTGCCCATACCCCAAAGATTGTCATATTCTTCTAGTTGGCTTTAGACTTTCTTGGCTGCTGGACCTGGACAGAGTAGGGCTGTCTTTCCTGTAGGATGGGGTCAGTCTGATCTGAGTACTATCCCATCTGCCAGCTTTTCCCAGCATCCCTGCCTGGTCACACATTCTCATTCTTGTAGTGTGACCTTGACTACCCAGCCAAGGTGCTTGCCAGTGGCCACCATTGGCAGACCTTATCTAATAGCCAGAGAACTTTTAAAGGCATTCTTTTTCCACTGTAACCCCAACCTCAGCCTTCCCCTGCCAGCACACACTTGCCTGCAACTTTCCCCAGCCACTTTGCTGGTGCACATGCATGGAAGACATGCTGCAACCACACTGAGGCACTTTTGCCATCACCAACATTTGGAATGTTGGTGCCAGTGGACTGGGAACACCTCAACCCCTCCAGTGCAGCATATGCTTAAACTTAAGGGGCTGGAGGAAAAAAACAAAACAAAACAAAACAAAAAAACAACAACAAAAAACATGGGCCTGGTTTCAGCCCCTCAGGGTTCGAGCACACAGCCCAGGAATGCTGAGCTGAGCCTTGGTTCCCTGAAATCATCCAGAAATGGAGCTAATTGACTAAACTCAACTTATACCACAGTCAAACCATCAAGACCATCAAAGCATACACAAGCAAAAAGCCCCAACTAAAGGACAGCAACTTCACACATTAAAGGAATATCAGCCTACACAGATGAGAAAGAACCAGTGTAAGAACTCCGGCAACTCTAAATGCCACAGTGTCTTCTTACCTCCAAACAGCCACACTAGGTCCCCAGCAATGATTCTTTTTTTTCTTTGAAATATTTAAAAGTATTTATTAATTCTTATAAGAACAATAATAGATCCATTATATGTTAACATATGATTTAAAAATAAAACATAATTAATTCTTCCAAAACAGAAACAATTCTGGTGGCATTGCTTTACATTTTTGCAAATCTCCTCAGTGTCTGGCTTAATAAAAGACAGCCAGATCCTCATATCTGCTTCTGTAGTCAGTCTCTTGCAGTATCACATGTCATAAGTCAGATAGCCTCTGGAAAACTCCACCGTACACTTGTGAAAGAATGAAAGTTAAAAAGGCAAATGACATCTTGGTATTATTATGAAATAGTTTTGACCTCAGTGACTACCTGTATAGATCTGAGGTCCCCAGAACACACTTTGAGAACCACTGACCTATAAGATCTTTTTGAAAAAATGTTTTCGTCAGGTGCAGTGGCTCACGCCTGTAATCCCAGCACTTTGGGAGGCCGAGGTGGGCGGATCATGAGGTCAGGAGATCGAGACCATCCTGGCCAACTGGGTGAAACCCTGTCTCCACTAAAAACACAAAAAATTAGCCGGGCGTTGTGGCGGGCGCCTGTAGTCCCAGCTACTCGGGAGGCTGAGGCAGGAGAATGGTGTGAACCTGGGAGGCGGAGCTTGCAGTGAGTCAAGATTGCGCCACTGCACTCCAGCCTGGGCGACAGAGCAAGACTCCATCTCAAAAAAAAAAAAAAAAAAGAAAGAAAGAAAAAATGTTTTCAATCTGTGCATATAGACCATGATAAAAATGAGATGAAATATTAACCTCCATCACATGGGCATCTCAGCAATGATTCTTAACCAGACTGAAATGGTTGAAATGACAGACATATAATTCAGAATCTGAATGGCAATGAAGATCATCAAGATTCAGGGAAAAGTTGAAATCAATCCAAGGAATCTAAGGAATCCCATAAAGTCATAGAACATCAGAAGACAAAATGACCATTTTAAGAGAGAACCAAACTAATCTTCTAGAGCTATCAAACACACTACAGGAATTTCATAACACAATTGGAAGTATTAACAGCAGAATAGACCAAGCTGAGCAAAGAAACTCAGATCTGGAAGACTGGTTCTTTGAATCTTTGAATCAACTCAGTCACACAAAAATATAGAGGCTGGGTGTGGTGGCTCATGCCTATAATCCCAGCAGTTTGGGAAGCTGAGGAGGGTGGATTGCTTGAACTCAGGAGTTTGAGATCAGCCTGGGCAACAGGACAAGACCTCGTGTCTTTTAAAAATTTTTTAAAAATTAGCCAAGCACCATGGTGTGTGCCTTTAATCTCAGTTACTCAGCAGGCTGGGGTGGGAGGATTGCTTGAGTCTGAGAGATTGAGTCTTCAGTGAGCTATGTATGATCATGCCACTGCACTCCAGCCTGGGTGAGTGAGACACACACACACATACACACACACACACATACACACACACACACACACATACATTTTCCACATAGACAAAAAAAGAGTTTTTTAAAAATGGGGAAAAAAGCCTCTGGGAAATAGGGAATTATATAAAGACCAAACCTATCACTCATTGGCATCCCAGAAAGGGAAGCAGATGAAGTAGACCACTTAGAAAACATATTGAAGGATATTGTATCCAAAAATTTCCCCATCCTCACTAAAGAGGTTGCCATGAAAATTCAGGAAACTCAAAGAACCCCTGTGTGGTAGTATGCAAGACAGCCATCCCCAAAACACATAGTCATCAGATTCTCCAAGATGAACACATAAGAAAAAATACTGAAGGCAGCTAGAGAAAAGGGGCAGGTCACAAACAAAGGGAACCCCATCAGGCTAACAGCAGAACTTTCAGCAGACACTTTAAAAGCCAAAAGAGATTGGGGGCCTATATTCAGCAACATGCATTAATGCATTAAAAATACATTTAAAATGCATTAAAAATAAATTTTAAAAAACACAAGGATTGTATACCTATCCAAACTAAGCTTGATAAGCAAAGGTGAAATAAAATATTTTTCAGACTTTCACTAAGAGAGTTTGTTACCATCAGACCTGCCATACAAGAGGTCCTTAAGGGAATGCTAAACATGGAAATGAAAGACCATTACTTGACACCACAATAAATACACTTCGGTACATAGATGACTGACACTAAAAAGCAACTGTACAATCAAGTCTACAAAATAAGCAGCTAACAACACAATGATGTGATAAAATCCTCAGATACCCACAATAACCTTAAATGTAAGTGGCACTTAAAAGGCATAGAGTGACAAGTTGGATAAAGAAGCAAGATGTAACGACATGCTATCTTCAGGAGACCCATCTCACATTCACTGACACCCAGAAGCTCAAAATAAAGGAGAAAGATCCATCAAACAAATTGAACACAAAAAAGAGCAGGCATTGCTATTCTTATTTTAGACAAAATAGACCAAAAATTTTAAACCAACAGTTATCAAAAAGGACAAGGAAGAACATTGCATAATGATAAAGGGTTCAATTCAACAAGAAGACCTAACTATCCTAAATATTTATGTACCCAACACTGGAGTACCCAAATTTATAATATAGGTTGTTAGAAACCTAACAGGAGACACAGATAACCACAGAATAACAGTGGGAGACTTCAACACCCCACTGAGAGTGTTTGACAGATCATCAATGGAAAGACTAACAAAGACATTTGGGACTTAAATCTGACCCTTGACCAAATGGACCTAACAGACATCTACATATACAGAACAGTCAACTGAACAACAGAATAGACAGTCTTCTAATCTTCCCATGGCATATACTCTAAGATCAAACACACTCAGCCATAAAGTAATTCTCAAAAAGTTAAAAAAATAAAATAAAATTATACCAATCATACTCTTGGAAGACAGCACAATAACAATAGAAATCAATATCAAGAGGATCTTTCAAAACCATAGAATTACATGGAAAGTACACAATCTACTCCTGAATGACTTTTGAGTAAATAATGAAATTAAGTCAGAGATAATAAAAAATTATTAAACTAATGAAAATAAAAATACAACACACCAGAATCTCTGGGACATAGACAAACCAGTGTTAAGAGGAAAGTTTATAGTGCTAAACTCCTTCATCAAAAACTTAGAAAGATCTCAAATTAACAACCTAACATTACACCTCAAAGAACGAGAAAAACAAGAGCACATCAACCCCAATGCTAGCAGACTTTTTCAGCAGAAATACTCAAAATCAGAGCTGAACTGAAGAAAATCAAGACATGAAAATCCATACTAAAGATCAATAAAACCAAAAGTTGGTACTTTGAAAGAATAAATAAGATGGATAGGCTGTTAAATAGACTAATAAGAAAAGAGAGAAGAGCCAAATAAACACAATCAGAAATGACAAAATTACATTACCATCGACCCCAGAAAAACAAAAAATCCTGAGATTATTATGAACACCACTGTGCACACAAACTAGAAAACCTAAAAGAAATGAATAAATTCCTGGAAACATACAAACTCCCAAAATTGAACCAGGAAGAAATTAATATCTGAACAGACCAATAATGAGTTCTGTAAATGAATCAGTAATTAAAAAATAACATACCAATAAGAAAAATTCCTGGATCAGATGGATTCATAGAAAAATTCTACCAGATGTATAAAGGGGAGTTGGTACCAATACTACTGAAAATATTCCCAAATATCAAGGAAGGGGGACTACTCCCTAACTCATTCTGTGAAGCTAGCTTTGTTCTGATGCCAAAACCTGGAAGTGATAGAATTAAAATGAAAACTTGAAGCCAATATGTCTGATGAACATAGATGCAAAAACCTTCAACAAAATACTAGCAAATGGAATCCAGCAGCACATCAAAAAGCTAATCTACCACAATCAAGTAGGCTTTATTCCTGAGATGCACAGTTGGTTCAACATATGCAAATCCATAAATGTGATTCATTACATAAACAGAACTAAAAACAAAAATCACATGATAATCTCAACAGACACATAACTCTTTCAATAAAATTCAACATCCCTTCATGTTAAAAAACAAAACAACGCAACAATCTAGGAGTCGAAGGAATGTACCACAAAATAATAACAGCCATCTATCTCAAACCCACAGCCAACATCATACTGAACAGGCAAACCTGGAAGCATTCCCCTTGAGATATGAAAAAAGACAAGGATGCCCACTGTCAGCACTCCTATTCAACATTTTACTAGAAGTCCTAGCCAGAGCAATCAGGCAAGAGAAAGAAGTAAAAGGCATCAAGATAGGAGAAGACTAAGTTAAATTCTCTCTCTTTGCAGACGATATAATTCTATACCTAGAAAACCCCATAGTCTCTGGCCAAAGGCTCCTATAACTGATAAACAACTTTAGTAAAGTGTGGGAATACAAAAGTAAGGTATAAAATTCAGTAGCATTATACACCAATAACATCCAAGCTAAGAGCGAAATCAAGAACACAATCACATTCACAATAGCCACAAAAAGAATAAAATACTTAGAAATATAGGTAACTAGGGAAGTGAAATATCTCCACAAGGAGAATTACAAAACACTGCTGAAAGAAATCAGAGATGACACAAACAAATGGAAAAACATTCCATGCTCATGGATAGGAAAAATTGATATTGTTAAAATGGTCAGATGCCCAAAGTAATTGCAGATTCAATGCTATTCCTATAAAATTACAAATTTCATTTTTCATAGAATTAGGAAAAAAAGATATTCTAAAATTCATATTAAATCAGGGGAAAAAAAGACTAAATAGCCAATGTAATCCTAAGCAAAAAGAACAAAGCTGGAGGAATCACACTACCCAACTTGAAATTATACTACAGCATGATGTTGTTATAAAAATAGACACATAGACCAATGTAACAGGTTAGACAACCCAGAAATAAAACTGCATTTCTACCACCATCTAATCTTCAACAAAGTCAATAATAAGCAATGGGGAAAGGATTCCCTATTCAATAAATAATGGAATAACTGGCTAGCCATATGCAGAAGTTTGAAACTGTACTCATTTCACCATATATAAAAATCAACTCAAGATTGATTAAAGACTTAAACATAAAATGTAAAAATATAAAACCCTAAAAGAAAACCTAGGAAATACCATTCTGGACATAGGCCTTGGGAAAGATTTCACAACAAAGTCTCCAAAAGCAATTGCAACCGAAACAAAAGTTGACAAATGGGACCTAATTAAAGATCTTCAGCTCAGCAAAAGAAACTATCAACAGAGCAAACAGACAACCTACAGAATAGGAGAAAATATGTGCTAACTCTGCATGTGACAAGGATCTATCCAGAATGTACAAGGAACTCAAACAAATAGCTCCATTTAAAAATGGGCACAGTACATGAACAGACATTTCTCAAAAGAAGGCATACAAGTGACCAAGAACATGAAAAAATGCTCAGCATCCCTAATCATGAGAAAAAAATAACTATCAACTTGGGAACAAAAAGAAGGGGAAAGAAAACAACTACATCTCATCTTTCACAGAGCAATTATGAGCAGAAATATGAGTCTAAATTTTATCCACCAAAATTACTCTGTGAAACAAACCTAAAAAATGTGAGGACATGGATAAGTGTGTCGCTATGCAAAATGCAAAGGTAGTAGTTTCCCACCTATACAATTTAAACATATTTATACTAAAAGTGATTATAATATATGTTAAAAGTGAATAAAGCCACTATTCATGTTGTTAATTCTTCCCAATTTGTATATATATCAAGAGGGCATTCTCAGGGATAGTTAAATATTGTATGGATTGTTTATACTAATGACCTATTTTTGTCCTTCCAAAGCCATGTTGTTGTTAACTCTTTTTTTCTGGTGGATGGTGGTAATTTAAATAAACTAAATATCACATACGGTATTTCTAAATGTTTTCTATTTAATTGAGCTATGTACAGTATCCATTTTTGGGGATAAAATGGTTAAATATTGACAATTTCATACAATTCAACCTGTAGATAATTCATGTTTTTTTAAAGAATCATAGTAGAATACATTCCTAAAGCTCTTAAACTAGCAAACTTCTACTAAGGAGAATGTGAAAATATATTCTAATTAATATGTCAAACCAAATTTGAAGATGAACACTACCAACATTCAAGTATTTACATAGCTAGAAATATTATCAAAACCAAGCTGGCTTCCATATTTAAAAAAGAGGATGATAATAAGTTTTCATTAGTGGCTATGAGTTTATAGCGTTCACCTTATTTTGCAAAACTAGAACTTTGTTTCTGAAAATATAAACAGAAAATTAATAGCTCCCAACAGTATGTGATATATTCAATCATCTTTGTTTTTAGCTAGTCATTTCAGTTAGCTATTGCATACTTCTCCTCTTCAAGTAATTAAGCTAGACCCACCCATTCCCAAAACATTTATCAAAAAATGCATACAGCAAGTTAAACATTATGAATGATGTTATAGGTACCAGATGTGATCTCAAACAATTTGCCCTCTTGATTTTATATCTACTGGTAGATCACACTGTGTCTTTGTAAAAATTACAAAAAAAGTCTTTTGGGGCAGTTAAATTGCAAAAAGACATACACGCCTTCCTCCAGAATCCAGGCTGACTATAGACCAGGACTAATGACTCATGGGTAAGGGGCCCTAATCACCATCTTACCACAGTGCCATTGTGTAGGGCAGGAGCTGCAGAATTATGTCTCTGTTAGGTGGTTCAGACCACCTGATCTTAAACCTTAGACTCACATACAATACTCTTCTACATTTTGGATCGTGGACTTCTAGTGCCATTTTTGGCATGACTTTAATCCTCCATCCTTCAACTTGACCTCCTAGAGAAGGGGTTAGGAAGTGGGATGTTAGACACTGTGAATTCAGACAGTTCACACTTCTGGACTAGGTGATCTGATATCATTGGTCTAAGCTCTCCTGGTTTTGTCTGAATGTTGCATATTATAATAGTCTATCTGCTACCGATGAACTTTCTACAATTTAGCCAAGCTTACACCCAAAGCATGCCAATTTTTTTACATGTGTTTTTGGAAGTGTTATGCCATTAGAATGATATACTTATTGATGTGATAATACAAAAGAGAAAGCATCTGGCCAACGTTTCCCTCAAATATGTTCTGCTGAAAAGGAGTTCTACAAGAGTGATTCCATAGATTACATGAATGCAAGTTAGCATGTTAATAATCTGTGAGAGATCCTGAATTCAAGTGATTTGTTTACCTTGTTTAACCCAGAAATTAAAAAAAAATACCAACAGCATTTATTTGCACCCTACACACACTTTGGGACTGGAACTGTAGTTTAGGCCAATTTAAAAAGAAAGACAGAAAGAGAAGGAGAGAGAGAGAGAAACTATGCAGTAGCACTACATTAGTCATCATCCCAAGAGTAATAAACTGGCACAAGTTATGGAAATCTCTCTGACCTTAATGCTCTTAATCTAAATTAGGAATGAAAATAATACTTGTCTAATGGTTAATATGTAGATAATTTTTTTAATTTACTGTTATATTTTAGGTAGTAGTGGTAAAGACGAAAATCTAATTTCATGACAATGTGAAACAGGGCACTGTGAACAGCCTATTCTAACAAAAATTAGAAGTAGTATAAGATATTTTATTTGAAAATTGTATTTAAGTAAAGCAATCAATATTTTCATTTTCTTGTCTCAATGTTTCACCTCTGATGTAGGCTCACAGAAGAATTAAGTCTCATAAAAGACTTGATTCTGGGAGGGAAGAAGGACTGGATTTGCGTATTTTCTCTGTGGCCTACTTTCCTAACGTCCTTGTTCTGGTGTTCCTTTTCCATATTGTTGTTGGAATGCAAAATAATTACTAGTGGCTCACAGATAAATCGTGAACATTTTAAATACCTGAGAGTATATCTAATGCATACTAGAAAGCCATAGCTATAATAACAGAACAAAACCATAACTTTATAGTTATTCCAATTTGGGATAAGACTATATTTTTATAAAGAGAGAGAATGGGAAGACTCAACAGTATCAAGATGTTAGCTCTTCCCAACTTGATCTACAGATTTAATGCAATCTTAAAGCACTAGAGAGTTATTTTGTGGATGTTGACAAACTGATTCTAAAGTTAATATAGAGGGGCAAAAGACCCAGAATACTCAACACAATATTGAAGAAGAAAAAAGTTAGAGGACCAACCCTACACAACTTCAAGATTGACTATAAAGCTACAGTAATCAAGATAGTGTGATACTGGTAAAAGAATAGACAAACAAATCAAGAAATAGAATAGAGAGCTCAGAAGTATACCCACCTAAATATAGTTAACTGGTGTTGACAAAGAAGCAAAGGCATACCAAAGGAGAAAATACAGCTTTTTGAAATGATGCTCAAACAATACAGCATTCACATGTTGAAAAAAATAAATCTATACACAGAATCTTAGACTCTTTGCAAAAACTAATCACAATGGATCACAAACCTCAATGTAAGCCACAAAACTTCAGAACTCCTAGAAGATAACAGAGAAGAAAATATATATGACCTTGGGTTTGATGATGAATATTTAGATATGACACTACAGTCATGATCCATGAAACAAATAATTGGTATATTAGACTTCATTAAAATTAAAAACTTCTTCTCATGAAAGACAATATCAAGAGAAGGAGAAGATAAGCCAGAAACTGGGAGAAAGTATTTGCAAAAGACACATTTAACAAAGGATTATTATCCAAAATTTCAAAGAACTCAACAAGAAAACAACTCAATTAAAAAATGAGCCAAAGGCCTTAACAGACAGCTCACTGAAGCAGATTTACATATGAAAAATAAGTATATGACTAGATGACATCATATGCCATCAGAGAAATGCAAATTAAAACAACGATGAGATATAACTGCTCACTTATTAGAATGGCCCAAATCTGGAACACTGACAACATCAAATGCTGGTGAGGATATGGAGCAACAGGAACTCTCATTAATTGATGGTGGAAGTACAACCATTTTGGAAGACAATTTGGTGGATTCTGACAAAACCAAACATTCTCTTACCATATGATCCAACCATCATGCTCCTTGCTATTTGTGCACAGAAGTTAAAAATATATATTCACACAAAGATCTGCATATGAATGTTATTATAAACTTTATTTATAATTGTCAAAATTTGGAAGCAACCAAAATGTTTTTCAGTAGGTGAACAGATAAACTGAGGTACATTCAGACAATGGAATTCAGTTCTAAAAAGAAATTAGTTATCAAAGACATGGAAGAAACTTAAATGCATATTACTAAGTGAAAAAAGACTAAATACTGGATTCCAACTACATGACATTCTGAAAAAGAAAAAAAAAACTATAGGAACAATTAAAAAAATAAATTGTTGCCAGGAATTAGAGAGAGGAAGGGATGTATTGGCAGAGCACAGAGAGTCTTCAGAGTGGTGAAAAATATTGTGTATGAAATTATAATGGTGGATACATGTCATTATATATTTGCCCAAACCAGTAAAATGTACAATAGCAAGAGTGAACTCTAATATAAACTATGCGCTTTAGGTGATAATGATGTTTCAATGTAGGATAATCAACTGTAACAAATGTACTACTCGAGGGGGATGTGGATATTGAGGGAGGCTACATAAATATGAGGACAGGGGGTACATGGGACATCTCTGTACCTTCCTCTCAATTTTTCTGTCAGCCTAAAAGTGCTTTAAAAATAAGTGTTTGTTTTTTTTGTTTTTGTTTTTGAAAGGAAGGACACAGAGTCGAATTTTATAAAAGAATAAAAATAGATACCGGTGAAACATAGGCATGCAAAAATTGTAATGCAAATGAGGAAACAGGAAATATTACATTATTGTACTTTAACTGTTATGACAATGCATAAAGCAAGCTATTATTATATCTATTTCAGATATTTAAAAAATAAATCATAGAGAAGGAAAATAAAGTGCCTGAGGTTTTCCAGTAACTGGCTTAGATGAAATTCAAACTCAGGCTTTGCAATTCCATAGCCTGCGTGCTTAACCACTTAACATGATGCCTCATCACTTTGAGAAGCTTTCATCTATATGTTTTCTGAAATATTTTTAAAAGAATAAAATTGGCCAGGCACGGTGACTCATGCCTGTAACCCCAGCACTTTGGGAGGACAAAGCAGGCAGATCATCCGCAGTCAGGAGTTTGAGCCCGGCCTGACCAACATGGTGAAACCCCGTCTCTACTAAAAATACAAAAATTAGCTGGGCACAGTGGTGCACACTTGTAATCCCACTTACTCAGGAGGCTGAGGCAGGAGAATCATTTGAACCTGGGAGGCGGAGGTGGCAGTGAGCGGAGATCGCGCCACTGCACTCCAGCCTGGATGACAAAGGGGGACCCTGTCTCAAAACAAACAAACAAACAAACAAACAGAATAAAATCAAGTTTTATCTAGGCATCTCCTCTCCATCCCGGACACCTCAAAGCTAGTTAGCATGGTGTACACTGAGCTCTTCACTTTCCAACTTCCCATAATACTACTGAACTTTAATCACTATACCTACATCTATGATTTATCTATCCATAGCCCAAGAATTTACAAGGGTCTTTGAAAAAAATGGAAATGAGATACACTCAAACTCTAATTTCATGAGTTTTACAATATTGTGAAGGAAACATATCAATATTTAAAAATCCTACAAACATCCAATGACAAACTGAAATATGAGCTACAATGGAATAGCATGGTTTTAAGAGAATATAGATTGGGGGCCAGGATGAAGGAGGCTATAAAAGAGTTCCTTGAAGAAGTTATGCTTAAGTCGAGATTGGATGAATGGAAGGAGTTAAATAAATGATAAATGAGCAGGGTAGAATATTCCCCCAGAGAAAACAGCATGTGCAAAGAACACCTAATTGGAAAAAGCAAAAGGAATTTAAACAAAAGAAATAAGGCCCATATTGTTGAAGCATAGAAAGGGAGTTAAAGGGTGGCTCATGAGGAGACCAGAGTAGAAATAACTCATGTGGGGGCTTTTTTGAAGGCTTTTGTTTTTTGATTTATTAGTTTTCTACTCCACTTGTTCAAATTTTATTTACTCATGATGATAACTCCCTAAAAATAAAAATTAAAGTATTTACTCACATCCTTCATGGAGATCACCGTAATGCTAGGCATCATGGCATTAATAAGTTGATACTACAATCAATCATATTACTACACTACACAATATAAATGATTTGAGTCTAAATCAAAAGAGTCTGTGTTACAATTTAGAAACTTTAATTACCAGGCAGTTTTCCAGAAAATACAGCTCTGGCTTTAAAACAGGAAGACAGCATTGTCAGTTATCACATACACCAGGCATGAGTGGATATTCATTTCACGAATACGATGATGTCACAAGAGCATAATGTTTCTCCAGGTCACTGAATCGTGTTTGGAAAAGAAACACTTTGGCTTTACCTTGTCTATTGTTGCCATTTTCACTAATATTACAATAGAAAAATATGTCAAATCCAGACTATAACCCATTCCATCAACTTCATTTTCTTGTAGGAGTTACAGAAAATATATATTTTC
Organism: Homo sapiens; assembly: GCF_000001405.40. Classification (NCBI taxonomy): domain Eukaryota; kingdom Metazoa; phylum Chordata; class Mammalia; order Primates; family Hominidae; genus Homo; species Homo sapiens. The sequence continues at coordinate 41,361,360 of NC_000011.10, forward strand.
GGTACTCTCTTTTCTGTGCCTGCATAAGCTTCTATAGTTAGTCTTGATTTCAACCACACTACCAGAAGTAATGGAAAGTATGAATGTTCACACAATTTGCCCATGCACATTACTGTCTTGAAGTTGAGCATCTAACATAACATTTCCTTCTAAGCATTCTATTTATTCAGATAGTTCTAGTCACTAATTTTCTGTAACAGAAAATTACAATTCTACAATGATCCAATTTATATTTATGTGTGGACTACATAATTGCACAGGCAAAAATTGTACATAAATATCAATGCATAGCTAAAATATATGGTTAATAGGATTTAAATTATATCTCTGAATTCTACTTTGAATTCTTGAGTCTAGCTAAAGTTACTGACTAAACACATTTTTTAGTGTCATTAGGAAAAATGGTATTGCTGTAGTGACTCTTAAATGTAGTTCCAAGGGCATAATTTTATTTTAATGCCAACTATTATATAATCCCTTTGTTCTGGTCTATATCCAATCTGAATTCCTGGAGAGGAGATAATATAATTGTAATCTGAAAAAAATCATGTGTAAAATAGCTTTCATTGACAATTCATTCAGACAAATAAATAATATTAATAATTGCTACTATTCATGGCATAATAAGATACACACATATACATATACAAACTTGTCTTTTATTTCTAACAGCATTAGTTTTCAAAGAAAGTTTGGAGATGCAGTTTAATCTAAAGTGAAGCTTAACTTTTGTTTAAAATGCTCAAGATATGGACAAAAAGATTCCTCACTCATATCAGAGGACAGATCTCAATGGGGAAGGTCCAGGAGGCAGTCTATTACTTGCAAATTCAAGATCTCACAACCCTTTCATTACTGGTCTTCCCCACATCTTGCTGAAAAATCTCTTTTCTTGGGGGACAACAGCATTTTCTCAATCTTTGTGCTAAAAGAAAAAAACATTTTTTCAGTGGGGGATGGGGCTTGTGGAGGTTAATAAAAGGAAAAAGGAAAAGGAAATAAGGAAATAAAGGTAAAAAGGGCAAAAGACAATACTAAGCATATAAATAGCTTCAGCACCATGGATTTTGATGGAGAAATGGAGTACCTGAAAGTCTCTCTCTTTTTGATGATACCTAACAAAGACCCTTGCCCACCTATCCTCAGGGTTAATCAGTGTTGCAGAATCATTCAGAATCACTAAGGGGGTCCAGGGAGTTCCTACTTAAACTTCTTTATGAGTGATATATTAGTTTTCTGTTACCTCTGTAACAAATTACCAAAAATGTGTCTTAAATTCAAAGTTCTTCTTTTACAGTCTAGAGGTCAGCAGTCTAAAAGCAGTTTCACTGTGCTAAAGTCAAATTGTTAACAGGTCAGGTTCTCATGGAAGGCTCTAAGGAAAAGTCAGTGTCCTTGTTTTATCCAGCTTCTAGAGCTGCATTCCTAAACTTTCTTTTTTTTGGCTCATAACCCCTTCCTTCATCTTCACAGCCAGCAGTATAAAATCTTTTCTGTCTGACTCTGCTTCCTTCTGCTTCCATCTGCTTCTGTCACATGGCCTTCTTTTCTGCAGTATAATCTCCTCATCTCAAAATCACATCTGCAAATTCTCTTTTACCATGTAAGGTAACATTCATAGGTTCAAGGGGTTAAGAGCCAGATATCTATGGGAGCCATTATTCATGCTACCCCAGGTGAGGAAGTGGATGTCTTCCTTACATATCTCTGAGTCCTGTCCATCATGATGTCACATCTCTGCATGGTAGCCAACTTGACAGTAAAACAAAAGGATCTCCTTTGTTTCTCTGGCTGGCTCCTGCCATTTCTCTTTTCTCTAAGATAATATTGGGCATTTCTCCCTCTCATTGCCTCAGAGGGGCTGGGTTTACCCTGCCCACCAAGCTGAGTCTTGAGTCATCCACCTGAGTCTTGAGTCATCCACAACAAGTACAGAAAAACATAGGTTACTCTTCAGAATATTTACCAAGTTACTGAGAGCAAAACATCCATTCTGAAATTTGCGGATATATAAACAGCCCCACTGTAAGATGTCTTAAAGGAATCTGGTGCCAAATGTTTTCTGTATCTGTATATCGCTAATCTTCAATTCCATCCTAAATTACTTTTGATTCTGAATACCCCTGTTGAATCAATTTACCTTCTCAGGACTAATGACCTTAAGTCCCTGGCTATTGTTTAGTAGCATAAATTAAATCAAGTAGATGATTTACTGTTATAGGAATTTCTCTATCAGCTCCCGTCAGACTATGCTTCCCTTCAAAAACATTTTCAACTCACTAGACAGATCATGAAAAAGAAAAAGAAGAATAAAGTAAATTAGATATTTTTTGGCATTCCTTGATTGATGTTAATTGATGAGTAATTTCTCAAGGTTATGGTTTTGTTTACAACTTTCTTTCCAAGTCCCATTCACCCCCGCCAACAGCAAAACTATTTTACTTTGGCTGTACAGGTGCTATCTATTACAGAATGGATTGCCTGCTTTCTGACTAACAGAAGTTTCAGTTAAATTGTAGTCACTTCAACATTAGTCTCAACATTAGTCTCAATTAATCTCAAAGACAGAAAACAAGCACAACTATTTATAAGGTTCCCACTCAAAACCCCATAAGGAGTTAAATAAAGCATATACAGGTACTTCCACCTTGAAAATAAAAGTTCCAACACACTAGATGCCTTTTAAGAAAGTGATCATTTCTTTCTAGGACTGCGTTTGCACTGCCATAAACCATGACCTTCTAGAATTCTGTCAGGTTGCATGAGAGGTCCGTTACTTTGCAGACAAGGCCACAAATAGAGGGCTACCCCCTGCTCATTATCCAGCAAATAGTAAGCACTCTTCAAATGTAGCTGCTATTCACTAGAATTAAATTTAGTTTAAAATCTTAAGGCAAAATTTTTTAAAGCTGAATTATAACCACTTTTTTTTCTTTTGAGATGGAGTCTTGATCTGCCACCCAGGCTGGAGTGCAATGGTGCGATCTAGGCTCACTCCAACCTCCATCTCCCAGGTTCAAGCGATTCTCCTGCCTCAGCCTCCCGATTAGCTAGGATTATAGGCACGCACCACCACGCCCAGCTAATTTTTATTTTTAGTAGGACGAGGTTTCACCATGTTGGCCAGGCTGGTCTCGAACTCCTGACCTCAGGTGATCCACCTGCCTGGGCCTCCCAAAGTGCGAGGATTACAGGCATGAGCCACTGTGCAGAACACACATAAGAGTATGATTGATCGTCAAATGCAATAAGAAAGTTCAGGTGAAATAAAACTTTATTATATAAGCCAGTTACCAGAGGGAGAAGAGCTCAGAACAAAATTTATTGCTTGTTTTTACTTCGACTTGCTCAAAAAGATAAATTAAATTCTGATTTTAAGAAATCCTTCTGAATAATGTGTCTGAGTCAAAATGAACCTTGTTTTCTTCACCTCAGTTTTTCCCACCTAGACATAAAGAGAAATTGGCTGGTGAAATAAAATCCCCAAATGAAACAAATTCACTGAGTTTCAACCCTTTAACATGGCTGATATCTAAGGCGGAAATATAACTTACTTGGTCCTTCAGAAATTTTCAAAGTTATTTTGTCATTTAAAGCTGAAACACCATGGAGTGTGTGTGTGTGTGTGTGCACGTGATATTTGTATTGACTAGTGCAGGGGTCCCCAGTTACTGAATCATGGACGAGTACCAGTTTGTGGCCTGTTAGGAACTGGGCTGCAAAGCAGGAGCTGAGTATCAGGAGACCAAGCAAAGTTCATCAGTATTTACAGCCATCCCCATTGCTAGCATTACTGCCTGAGCTCTGCCTCCTGTCAAGTTAGTGGAGACATCAGATGCTCATAGGAGTGTGAACCTATTGTAAACTGTGCATGCAAGGGATCTAGGTTGTGTGCTCCTTATGAGAATCTAATGCCTAATGATGTGTCACTGTCTCCCAACACCCCCAGATGGGACCATCTAGTTGCAGGAAAACAATCTCAGGGCTCCCACTAATTCTACATTATGGTCAGTTGCAAATTATTTCATTATATATTACAATGTAATAATAATAGAAATAAAATGCACAATAAAATTATTGCACTTGAATTATCTCAACAACATCCCCACCCCTAGTCCATGGAAAACTTGTCTTCCATGAAACTGAGCCCTGGTGCCAAAAAGCTTGGGGACCACTAGACTAGTGTGTTACTTCCTTGTTCTTAATAAATATGAAATAGCATTTTATAAGTCCTTTATATAATCTTGTTCAAAATAGCAGGGATTAATGTCTGATTTTTCATCAGGTGCCCTGGTGTTATGCATTCAATTTCTGGAGTTGGAAAAAAAATTGCTACTAAACAATTACATTGTCCTAGACACAGAACAGCTAGCATTCTCACTGTAGCTAACTAGAAGTAGAACAATGTGTGAGTTAATATATAATGTACCTGCATGGTGGGATACTTGGTAAATGATAATGTCTTTAGTTGATAAATCTTGGACTCAAGAACAAGGCAACACTAAAGTTGAATTCACACTCTACCATTTATTCATCATGTGACCTAGGGAAATATTTAATTTTTCAGAATTGTTTTTAATGGGAATAAAAATAGTACCTTCCTCAAAGAGTTTGGAGTAGGATTCAGTGAGACAATATATGTATGTTAAATGTGTAGGATAATAATGGCTTGCATAAAATAAGCATTAAATAAACCTTTTTTTTTCTGCCTCTTAAGCATTTGTGCCTTCAAACTAGCTGGTAGAAATATTTGGCTATTTATATACCTGGTAAATTATATAAGCATATATGTGTGCCTGTTTGTATGTGTTTATATATCTAGATAGATAGATAGATAGACAGATAGATAGATAGATAGATAGATAGATAGATAGATAGATAGATAGGTAGATATCCTAATTTAGGCTACCACATCAAATTACTTATTCCTGCCAGTCCACTCTAATCTGTAGATATTTGGTTATCAACTGATATTAATTCTAGACAAAGAAAAAAATAGAAAGATACTCTATTTTGGTAAAGTGGGATAATAATTTAACCAAAAGCAAAGACAACATTTTTTTGATATTTATGTTCTAGTAACAGGGTAATTTGAAACATCTTTAATACAATAATTCTACAGAAAATTTTAAATTTTAAAATATAATTTAATTTCTGCATAATGCATTTTAGTTTTTAAAATAACTCCTTTAAAAAAGTTAAATAGAGATATTATAAGCTGAATAGTGTTTCTCCCATTTAAATTCATATATTGTAGTTGTAAGCCCCAATATCTCAAAGAACATGATTCTATTAGTAGATAAGGTCTTTAAGGAAGTAATTAAGTTAAAATGAGGTCATGAGTGTGGGTCTTAATTCAATATGACTGGTGTCATATAAGAAGAGATTAGGGACAGATATACACAGAGGGAAGACCATGTGAAAACTGGAGGAAGAAATCTATCTACAAGACAAGGAGAAAGGATTGATCTCAGACTTCCAGTCTCCAGAATTGTGAGAAAAGAAATTTTTCTTCTTTAAGCCACCTAGACTCTGGTATTTTGTCAAGGCAGTTCTAGCAAACTAATAAAATGCATTATGCCCATTTTAGGGATGATGTTAATAGAGACCAAAAAATTTGTATGAGTTATTTTACTTGATAATTTGCAAGAGCCGGAAGCAGAATTTGAACCCAGTGTTTCTAATGATAGCCTATGTTCTTTCTATCTCACTGCAGTGCTTTATGACTAATCCAAAGACACAGGGAAGGTGCCTTTATAGGGGTGTTGCATTGAGAGATGAGGCTTTTGCTGGCCAGAAAAGACATCTCTATATAGCTCAGTACATAGTCAATGGACTGACTTTTGATAATAAAATGAATCATGACTTTACATCTCCATTCCTATAACATGCCTCTTGTCTTTATAGTGAGGTGTGATATTGGGGTATCCAAACCTGGATGGAAATTCATATTTCCTGGGACATGTTTAAAACACAGTAATCTCACGGCCTTCTTCTAACACCTACTATGTTAGAATCTTGGGCAAGGCAGATGACTGAGTAAGCTCTATCTTTAATGGGGGTTCCCAAAAGATTCTGACACCGACCATCAAACAACACTTGGGGATACCAGCTACACATAGTGAAAGGACTATGAGTTTTGAACCAGATGCACATAAACTCAAATTTTAGTTCGGAATCATACTTTTCTTAATAATTTTGAGCTTCAGATTTTTCACACGTAAAATTGGAGACAATAGCTACTGTGGTCAAATGTATATGTATGTGTATGTTTGTATCTGTATGTCTGTACTGTATATACATACCCCTTCTTCATACGGTTTTCTTTTAGACACTCGGTATGGGCTCCCTAGAAATCTGACTGAAGCATGCATTCTCAGCAACTTGGCTTCCATTTGGTCCCTGAACCTTGGCAATACTAGCCACAAAGAGCATCCCAAGGCCTCCCTGCCATATGGATTCCCAGTTACCCAGGCTATTAGGTTCACATTTGCCTTAATGATTCATAATCCCTTTTTAAAAAGGTTATCAGCCTAGAAAAAAATAATCCATTGAAATCCCAGTAGGACATTCAGAGTCTTACCCAAACCAGGTTTTTGGTCCAAGAGCAATTTTTTTGCCTTAGATTGTAGCCAAAATGTACCAAGTCATTTTACAAAGTGCTTGGGAAATTACTTTCAATGTGATAAGCCAAAATCTCATATTGAGTTAGCATTTCATCTATTTCTGCTATATATTTATCAGAGTACTCAGATTTCAGGCTTTAAATTACAGCAGATATCCAAGCACCAATCATGGCAAATTTCGTTTCCTTTGTTTCAGACAACTGAAAGCCAGAATCAGCTTGACAATCCTACACTCCGATAAATTGCCAACCAAGCAGAATGAGATACACCCATTATTCTTTCTGTCACTCTATCCTGAGCAATCAGTGTCCAATTTGTTTGTCTTTCGCTCTAAGACTTCCCTCTTTCTCAGCTCTTCTTTGTGCCATGTTTCTCATTCCCACAAGACTTGAATAGAACACCTGTTCGGAGAAAAATCCCATTAGCCAGGACATCCAACATCTCTTAACAAATCCTTACCAAGAGACAAGAGATCAATAAGCAAAATAACTGAGTCCTTATTAACAAAACTGAATTATGTAATGGTGTTTTCTATGAACTGAATGAGCCCAAGATTCTAAATAGCACCTTTGGAATGATATTTTTAGCTGAGGTTCTGAATGCATTTGTTAAATCATTATCCAGTGTTGGTCTACCAACCATCACACATGGCTCTGCCAGTAAAACATACGGAAAAATCCTCTCTACCTAAGGGCATAGACAGTTCATTCAAAATGTGTTGTATGGAGCAAAAAAGAGGAAAATAAATAAGGAGACTCAGTTACTTTCCTACATGTTGCTACTGGGTCATAAAGCTCTGCAGCAATTTTTTAGGCTTTGGAATTCTTTTCCTATCTATCATTTGTTGCAGGAGGCATACTTTTTTCCCCGCATCCTAAATATCCATTGTAAGAACCCATTTGTAGACAGACATGTTATGGCTGACCTTTCACTTCTAGGTAGCAGAGAAAATTGAGGACTTCTTAAAAGGATATCCTCTTGTTCTCTACTTTCTATTTTTCTCTGTTACCACATGTGTTTTTCTCCAAATAAATCACTTAAATGGAAATCATTCCCTCTTAGAGCATTTTAAGTCATTTTTGTTGAAGAAATATTAGTCAAGCACCAATCATATGTTAAACGAAAAATCTAAGTGCTGGAAAAAAAACACAATGAATAAGCTCTTTATCTAATAGAATTTGTGTGATGGTGAAAGATAAATACATATGCACAAAGATAATTTTAGCATAATGTAGAAGTTTTAGAGTTTTACATAGGATGTTACTGATGTATAGAAGAACATTATGCCCAACTTGGTCATGGAAATGAATAGATATAGAAAGATGTTAAAAGAGTAACAATTGAGATCAGAGTTGATTTAGAAAGATGAATGACACACACTGGGGCCTCTAAGAGGGTGGAGGGTAGAGGGTGAGAGCAGGGAAAGAGGATCAGAAAAAAATAAGAAATGTACACTAGGCTTCATACCTGGGTGATGAAACAATCTGTACAACAAACCCCTATAACACAAGTTTACCTACATAACAAACCTGCACATGTACCCCTGAGCTTAAAATAAAAATTAAAAAAAAAAAAGATTGGGAAATCAGATGAGAGCATGAGCTGAAGATAAGATCAGTGCAGGATTTATGCTAGATCTAAAAGTACATTAGTTTTGAGTATTGTTGAGAACTGTTGTTTGAAGAAGAGACTGGTTGATGATGAGGTTGAAAAGGAGGGCAAAATCTGTCATGGAATGGCAGAATGCTCATATAAGGAACTTAGATTTCATTCTAGTAATGATGAGCACCTGGAGAAAAGCTCAAAGCAGGAGAATGGCATAATTTCATTTGCTCTTTAGATGGTCCACTCTGCGAATAATGTGCAGGATGGATTTGCATGATGACAAGGACTAGGTACAAGGAGACTAATTAAGAGGCCCTTGTAACACTTTAGGTGAGAGCTAATGAGGACTTCAACTCTCAATAGAGATGCAAATATATAGAAACAAAATTTTGAATTATTCAACAAATATTTTACATTTTTTTCAAATTAGATCATTTCTGGATGCAAGTCACTAAAACGGAAAAGCATTTCCTTAGATATATCACATGCATTAACATAGACGTGGCACACTTCTTTATACTCACATTTCAGAAAATCTCATCTGGTATAATTTTGAAGTAAGACTGTCTGGATAACTACACATTATTTCATTATTTATTTTATTTTTTGGGATAGGGTCTCACTCTATCACCCACCAGGCTGAAGTACAGTGGAACAATCACAGCTCACTGCAACCTCTACCACCTGGGTTTAAGTGATCCTCCCACCTCAGCCTACTGAGTATCTGGGACCATAGGTGTGTACCACCATCCCCAGTGATAGGTTTGGCCCTCTGTCCCTACCCAAACCTCATCTTGAATTGTACTCCCATAATTCCCATTTGTTGTGGGAGGGACCCAGTGGGAGATAATTTGAATCATGGGGGCGGCTCCCCCCATACTGCTCTCGTGGTAGTGAATAAGTCCTAAGAGATCTGATGGTTTTGTCAGGGGTGTCCGCTTTTGTTTCTTCCTCATTTTCTCTTGCCGCCACCATGTAAGAAGCGCCTTTCTCCTCCTGCCATGATTCTGAGGTCTCCCCAGCCAATTGGAACTGTAAGTCCAATTAAACTCCTTTTTCTTCCCAGTCTTGGGTATGTCTTTATCAGCAGTGTGAAAATGGACTAATATATCCAGCTAATTTTTAAAATTTTTTGGAGAGACATGGTCCCACTATATTGTCCAGGCTGGTGTCAAAACTCCAGGCTCAAGCAATCCTCCTGCCTCAACTCTCACTGCTAGGATTATAGGCATGAGCTACCACGCTTGGCCCACGTTATTTAAATGAAAACAAACACAAATACATTTTATGTGGGCAACATCCCTTCTCCTTTCTCTTCCTCAGTTAACTTCCAGTAGATAGGAAGGAGAATGTTAGTCTTGCTACTCACTTACTAAAATGTTTGTGCTTGTTCTTGACCCTGCTGGACCTTTCCTTGCTGAGAAAGATGAAATTTTTCCTTACTGGCTAAAAACTAAATAAAATTAAAAATAAAAATAAAACCTATTTCTGCTGAAATATTGTTTCTCAAAAGGTTCTCAGCCGCCTTGATATATTAAATTTAGCTACCACCATCATCTTATTTCAAGCCCTGAAATTGGGGTAGGGATCATATCATATTAACAGTCACTCTTGGGAGCTATGACTGATAAAATGTCCAAAACAATTTATTACATTTGATTCAGCAGCTGTGCTATTTTGGAAACTCCCGCTTAGACCGATAGGAAGACAGATGAAGACACAAATGAAACTTTCCAAAATCTTTTAAGTGCTGGGATTCTGCTTTCACTTATATTAGAAGGCCAGATTCCAATGTCCAAACTTAATAGAAATTCTGGTTTTGATTCCTTTGAAATATTGTGAGTAAATGGTGGGCTTTTCGTGTTAGAAGTCAAATCCATGTGGTTTAATATGTGGAAATCCTTCATCTCAGTTGTGGGACATTTATCTTCAGGTAAACTGGAAGAAGACAACCTAACGAAAAAGAAAGAAAGCATACTCCCCATTCCCTGTCTTCTGAATCATGCAGATTATCAAATGGGGATAGTTTCTGGCATTGTGGATTGCTAAACCTCTTGAAAGACAGTTCTTCTAAATTAAAAAGCATGTAGAGTTATAAATATTTATGGGGAAGAATAAACCAAGGATATAGTAAAACTTTGCTGAACTCCTACCTACTCCAGCCCTTTCAAAGATTTTGCTAGGCAAACAAGAGATTTTTACCACATATTCACATACTTAACTCCTGCCACACTGACTTCCTCCAAAACAGAGATAGAAATTGGGCCGGGCGCGGTGGCTCATGCCTGTGATCCCAGCACTCTGGGAGGCCAAGGGAGGCGGATCAGGAGGTCAGGAGATCGAGACCATCCTGGCTAACATGGTGAAACCCCGTCTCTACTAAAAAATACAAAGAAATTAGCCAGGCGTAGTGGCTGGCGCCTGTAGTCCCAGCTACTCAGGAGGCTGAGGCAGGAGAATGGCGTGAACCCCGGAGGCAGAAATTGCAGTGAGCCAAGATCGTGCCACTGCACTCCAGCCTGGGCACCTGGGCGACTGAGCGAGACTCCGTCTCAATAAAAAAATAAAATAAAATAAAGAAATTGACCAGAGTCTGCATGCCTGACTGTGACAGGTTGAATGTGGCTATACAGCCATGTGTTCAGGCTGTATTTGGTTTGTACAAAAAGAGAGCAACTAAGTAACCACGAATGGAAAGAGGAACAATATTTATTTAGCTCCTTCAGTGAATACAACATTATTTATTCCTCAATACAGCCTTCTGAAATAACTATTACTTGAGTATAATTATGTCCTTTGACATATGGGAAGACTGAAAGTTAGACAGGTTTCGTAGCATACTCCATGTCATATATTATTGATACATGCATTTGGGATCAGTTTTACTTCAGCAGGCCACTTCAGAAACAGGAATGCTTGGTGTGTCTCATTTGATAGGGCCAAGTTTGATAAGTGGGCATTTTAATATTACCAAACTTATGAACTATTAAATAACATTCAAGTCAGAAAATGCTATGAAGTTGGAGACACAGATACTCTCACCCATTTCTGAGCCTAACCCCATCTCTGATTCCTTTTGTATTGCTAACATCCATCCTTGAGGTAAATCTGGGCTAATGTTGGGTTTGGGGCTAGGAGAGGTAATAAAAAAGAATGAAGCAAGAGTTAGGTATGGTTTGTTTGCAAGAGGGCACCAAAAAAAAAAAAAAAAAAGAGTAACAGAGTCATATATTTACAAATCTAATATATTCCAGAAGAAATCATAAATCTCCCTAATTTTTTTATTCTCTGAAAAATTAACTGTAATTTAAGGACCTAGTTCTCAAATTAGTTTAATCACTAAACAGATTTAGCTATTTAGCAATAGAACTTACTCTATTTCTTATTTAAAAATCTAGAGAAAGAATACTTTTCCATTTTTGTACAGCTATGACTATTCTAACACATCCATTTAGCACATATTTTGAAAACCTAATAACTTCTTATACTTGGATAACTATATGGGGAGTTATGGTAATATACTAGACATTAGGAAAGAGTAGAGTCTATTTAGGTCATAATATAATCTCTTGGGCTTAGACCCAGTTTGCACAATGAATCCCCAGTTGAATATTGTATCCTTTTTTTCAGCATTTTAATAGCATATATATACTGTATTTGACATATTAAAAATATTTGGCCCAATATTTTTAAAATAACTACGTTTAGTTGTGTGTTTATTATACCCACACACAGACATGCACATTTATGCACATATATTTCTTAAGATATACGTATACATACTTACACATCTAAATGTAGTACATTGTAAAACTGTCAGTTAAATTTTTAAACTATTAAGAAACAGTTAATTCAGATAATTGAAGTCTTCCCTAATTTGGGTCTGGATCAAGGATATATAAATGTTTGGGAGTCTGTGTTGTTGACCTTATTTGTTATAAGACAAATATTTTAAGTTTTGACAGGATTGCTTCTGCATGGCTATCTCAAAATAATACTCTCGGAATATCTCTTGTCAGGTGGCAATGTAGGACTTGAATCCAGGCATGCAAATGGCCATGATCTTTTCACTGTGTAAATTTCAGAATTCTAAAAATATAAAGATACCGACAGTGTAAGCTTTTTTATAATTTGGGTTATGAATGTATAGGATCCATGAAAATTTACAAGCAGCATCAGCTATTTATAAAGATCACGAATTAGGATATTAGTTTAAGCAAAGAAATAGAATTTTCAATAAAAGTATAAACATATTTGTACTTAATGAGATCTTACTAACGTCCAATATTCAGTTAAATATTGCTTTTGAATGTTGGATAATACCATGTGCCCTATTTGTTTAAAAAATAAAGTTGGCATGTAGCTATATTAATATCTTGCCCATTGTGCTAGTAAAAAAATTTTCATATCATATCAATACATTCTTTTGGCCAATACCTAAATCTCATAACCCAATTAGTCAAAGTGGAATTAAAATATCATCTTACCTATGTGATCTTGATGACTTCCCCCAAACTTCTAGACTTGGGACACAAACTGCCTTGAACCATCTGTCTGAACTTCCTTCTTTAATTGAATTCCTTGGAGCCAGCACTAAGGTTTGAATTGGTATTTTCATTCTTATGTTATTTTCTACTATCTTATCCTTTACCTGAGAAATACTCAGTATCACCAAGTACACTGAAATTATCACACTATATGATATTATGAGTCTGTGCATACAATTTTAGAACAGATGTGAGGATACATTGATTTTATGCATATTATTTAGAAGAGAAAAATTAAAAAAAAACTTTTGTTCCAAGTGTTTAAATTGAATTTACTCAGACAATGAATCTAACCTCCAACTTATAGGATATACAGAGGACAGAGTAACAAGTTAAATAATACCAAGAAAAAATAGTCAAATAAATGTAGAAGATGAAACACAACAAAAGTGATTTCTAAAATGCCAGTGTTATTAATAAAACAAAAAAGACGGACTATTTTAGATTAATAAAATCAGGACATAACTAACAGCAGTATGTAGACATTTACTGAATCTCAATTTAAACAGGACAATAGTAAAATACCTTAAGGAGATAATGAGCAGGATTTACATATAGACAGGGTATTAGGTTACACTGAGAAATTATTAATTTTGTTAGGTGTAAAAATATTATTAAAATTATGTAGGAAAATAACATTTTTTCTTGAGGGTTGTATGTAGAAATATTTGCGGTAAAAATGTATATATGTAACCTTAAAATATTATAGGAAAATGGCTGGGCATGGTGCCTCACACCAGTACTTGGGAAAGTCAAGGTGGGCAGATTGCTTGAGCCCAGGAGTTTGAGACCAGCCTGGACAACATGGCAAAATCCCGTCTCTACTAAAAATACAAAAAATTAGCCGGGCGTGATGGCATGCATCTATGGTCCCAGCTACTTGAGAGGCTGAGGAGGGAGAATCACCTGAGCCCAGAAAGTCAAGGCTGCAATGAGCTGTGATGGTACCACTGCACTCCAGCCTGGGTGATGGGAGTGAGACCCTGTCTCAAAATAAATAAATAGACTATTACAGAAAAATAATTAGTGAAGCAAATATGGTGAAAGATCAAAAACTGTTAAATCTGTGTGACAGGGTTAAACATTATTATTATTATATATATTTAAACATTTTTATAATCAAATAGAAGAAAACAATGGAAAGTTTAATGCCAGGTGCTAACAGGAAATCAGAAAGTGTGACATACGTAAGTACAATTTCCGTTGATGCTTAAGGCAGAGAGTGGAGGAGATGTACATTTGATAGAAGCATCACCTCTAGACTGAACCGCTGTTAGTAGGTATGAAATAGGATACTTAGAAATATAGACAAGTTGTTTTTAAGGGTAAGGTATAAGGCTAAGACATACACAGCATCAGGAGAATCATTTGCTATGACAGCTCATTCTGGCCAATGTTCAGTGTGAGTTTCAGTCATTATTTATTCATTCAACAAACATTAGGTGTAACACTTTACATACATCTATCATAATATAAATATTAATAGGGCACAGTTACTGCCTGGATCACATCAGGATGGTAGAGAGCCAAACTGGGATATCACAATACTATAGAACTATTATAGTCAAACTATGAATTAATAGCTATCATGGCAGAGAAGAAATAGAAACTCATTTTGCCTGCTTGTCTATAGTATCTTGAAGAATGAGTTTGAGTTTATCAGTTGAGAAAGAAGGAACACATCCTAGGCAGAGAATAATATAGAAAGTACCTAGAGATTCCTAAATTTATATTAATATTCATAAATTTTAGGAATATTAGGAAATTTAGTATGGCGTTCACACTAACTTGCAAGAGATGATGATGGATAGGGAAGTTCAGATTAAACTGTGAAGACTTGGTATGAAAGATTGGAGAATTCACATATAAATTGATATTTTATATTAATATAATATTCAAAATGATCTTAAACGTCATGGAAATCTAAAAATGAGAAGACTAGCATTAATTGTATTTGTATAAAATTTTCTCCTCCAGAAACAATTTACTCTGTAGAGAAAGAAAAAAAAAATAAACTCTAAAAATGAACTGAGTTCCCAGGAGAATTACAATATAAACACCCATTGCACTCTTGTTTCATTTCTTTCTCTTTGCCTGGCCACAAGGGAGTGTGCTGAATAAGAATATGCCACTTTGCCAGCCTTGCTTCTCTGCACAAATTGGAACTTGCCGGTAGAAAAAATAACTAGCAAGTCTGAGATGCCTTGTAGCTTTACCTATTGCCCAAATGTCTACAAATAAGGCTGAAAGTAGAATTGAATTAGATGACACAAATCTCAGCTCTACAAAAGTAGATCATCTCCAACTAATGGCCAGACTAGCAACACCTGGCCCCAGGCAGTGATTATCCTATCTCCAACAGAAATAATGATTGTAAAATTTGGTTAATGGTTAAACATTAGAAATACATAAAATGACCAAAAATAAAACAATAGTAAAATAAATTACTATAACTCTCTAAAGAGATATTACTCATAGTTTATTGCATGTTTGGGAAGTATTGTTAGCGATGTAAAAATGTTTAAGATGTAGATACTGAACTTAGAAATATTTATGTGTGTATTTGTGTATGTATAATATACACAATATACTGACACACACATGAAAATATACATATATTATAAACACATTGATAAAAATATTTGAGTAATAGAGTTACAGGTGATTTTAAAAATTTATATTCTTATAATAGAAAGAAAATAGATAGATACACACATACGTAGATCATAGATAGATAGATGATAGACAAACAATTGCTAGAGGATTAATAGAGACAAGGGGAAGACCTAAAGCAATTAACTTTCAATGGAAAAATGTTATGAAAGAGAAAAGGGCTTCAACTAATAAAATGGGTTAAATCTAACATTCCAATTTTCTGAAGTCTGAACTAAATATTTATTTTTGGAGCCATATGTCCAAGAAATGCTCATATGATATATGCAGTTATCCAGGGAATCAAGTTTGTGCAGAGTTCATTGAATTATGTGCTATGACTGTGTCAGTAAAAGTACATGTGAAATTATTTTTATCTTCAATTGTCCTCCCTTTAAATTATCCTTTTTTCTTCCTTTCATTCTTGAAAAATACATTTATTAACACTTTTGTGTGTCAGGCACTAGGCTAAGACCCATAGTTAAATTGATAACGAGATATACAAAGTTCCTCTCCCCATACAAAGAAAAATTCAGGCTTCTCAACCGCTAACATGAGGTTGTCTTTCCCAAGACCAGTACAAAATGTATTTCAATGATCTAATAAGCAGCCTGGGCTAGAGAGAAGACACAATACTTCTTTGCTTAGATTAGCAGTAGCATGGACAGTTCCACCAGTACCAGTTATTTTTTCAAGGGGATCAGGAAAAAAACAACGATAACCGATAGATATTTGAGGTAGATAAGCGTGTTGCTAAATGTTTTCAATCACATTTTTTTTCCCATGGCATGGTACAGAATCATTTCACAAGACAGAACTGAATCTCAGGGAAAAGTGTTATTATGCAGAATTTCTCCACTTAGAAAACATAGATGATCCTTCAAATACACAATATTGAAACTGGCAGTTTTCAGAGCCACCTGAAAAGCACTGAAATGTTTTACTCGTTATGGGTATTTTTGCCTTGGTGTGGCCTACTGGGGACCAAACAACTATTACAGTCAAGGACAATAATCTGATGCCACTCAGTCCCTTTACTGTAACAGTGACTTTCCAGCAGCTTTCCAGCTTTTTCTCATTGGAGAGCACCGTACCAATAGAAAAGGCAAAGCTGGATGCGCCAGGAGGCAATCGCCCTCTTGAACTGTGTAGTAATCACTTTCCCTTATATTTAATCCGGGTTAATATTGAGGCTCCTTTGTTAATGTTTAACTCCATGTTAGTGCTTCAGAAAGGCGGGCAGTGGGGGTAGCACAAAAGAGAGAAAAACAATTGTTTGACTTGCGACTTTCTTGGATCTGCAGAAATGTACTTAATTACCACTGAGGCAATTTATATTAAAATAAGAGTGGGGAAGCAATAAAAAAAAAGCAGTAAGCAAAGAGGTAGGGCAAGGGGCAAAAGGCCAGTAGGACTTTAATCAAAGAGAAACAGATGCAGCATTCTACTAAGAGATAAAGAACATGGGAATGAAGAAAAGGCAAAAATAGGCACAAAGTGCCAGGAGAAATGAAAAGTTTTACAATGTAAATTATTTTATTTCCATTTCACATTTTTTTCTTTTGTCTCTGAAGACTAAAATGCCAATGACACTGAAAATAGCCCTGTTCCACAAGGTATTGCATTAATTTTGTGATTTCTTAAGGGTTTCTCCTTTAGAAAACCTGTTCTAAAAGCAGCTTTATTTTTACAGCGGAGAGCAGACTTTACAGTAATTCATCTCTTAAGACAATGCAACTAGTGGAAACAGTTCTGGGAAATATCCATGCGGTATGCTCAAGATTTGGGGTAACTAAGGATTTATCCTTTGGGAATTCAGGCCCAAAAGAATAGAAATTTTGGAAACAAAGATTTTAATCACTTATTAGACTTTCCTTGAATCTCTAAACAGGTTATACTAAATGTAGTCTAACCTTTTAAATGATTCCTATGAAGATGTATGATTTCATTTTGTTGTAAACATAACTAGTCTAAGAGCAATTCCCTATAACCCAAGGCACTGATTTCTAGCTTAAAAATTAAAATAAAGATCTTCATTTTTAATGCAAGTTGAAATATCAGTGGTATGACTCAAACTCAATATCTCTAATCAAGACTTAGGAACAAAAACAATATAAGTCAGCGGGAAGAGTTTTTTTTTTTTGTCTGTTTTTTATTCTTTTTTCATATTGTCTTGATTTCTCTTTCTTCATTATCTTTTCAGTATATTCATTTTCATGCTTGTTTTTTTCTGTATACCCCACCCTTTTGGACACACAGACATATAAACTCACACATACTTATACCCACACTTTACTCCCAAAGGGGTAGGGCCCTGTATCTAAGTGGTTTCTACCAGAAGAGAAAAAAGAATTATAATCTAAGTGGAGCTCACCTCTTTTGGATTAGTAACTCCCAAGTAACTTGTCACTTGCACTGTGGTTAAATATAGCCTGCATATGGTTCAAAACATCTGTGATTTTACATTCATGCATAAATTATGTTGTACAGTAGAGTTATTGCAGAAAGCACCCTCCCATCACCATGGTTACTGATTCTTCCTGTAGAGTTCTCTATTCACATTTACTGTTAGTACAATCACAGAGTGAGTGGTAGAAAAAAATTTAAAGATATAATTTCACAAGCCAACAGGAGGATGTTTGGCAGTACTGGTAACTAGCAGGAAGTTAGCAGTGAAGTTGACTGATTGCCTTTACTTTCTTTAGGAAAGTTTTAACTTTGGGCACAAGATAAGTATTTTATATAAATAATATAGAATAAAGTTAAGTATCATAAAATAGCCCCATCCTTAGAGAGTGGTCAAAAGTCCTTCCCTAGCCTTGAGCCTACCCAGGGCCTTTATTCACAGCTTTCTTTCTATTTCTAAACTTGATAGGATTCATGGCCATTTTCTTTTGGATTTGTTTCTTGATGTTCCTGCCTCAGTGTGCCTCAGTACTTAACACTGGTGATGTTAGGGGTAAAAAAAGGGCAGAATAGATGCTGTGTAAGAGAATGAATACTGCATTGAAATAATTAAACAAGATCTATGTCTTCGTAATTATTCTCAGTATGAAATTTAGTTCTCTCCTTAGTCTTTCTGTCTAAAACCAGCTGGGTTTCCTTACTTCCAACAGAGAAGTGAAAGGTAGAACCAGTCACCCTACAGTGCTCCCTACTTCATCATTTAGATACACACACACATGCATGCACACAAACACACACACACTATTGTCCTCAGTGGTAAGATACCCACCTCAGAAGATAAGATAAGTCCACTGTGCAATGGGAAATTTTAAGGAGGTAAACTGAAGGGTAAGGTTAGCAAGAATTAGTTCAAGATTGAGAAAGCACAGCTTTAGAGTAGCTAATTTAAAAATAGAGTTTTATTTAAAATTTGAGCCCCGTGAACAGGGAAGGTATTTTCAATTGTGTTGCCTTTAATATAACAGATTCTATGTTTTGCACTGTAGTTGACAGTAACATATTACATCTAGAAATTAAGAGAGAGGGAAGAATTGTATCAAGAATCACTTTTGCCAGAGTGCACATTTTTAATGTTTGTTTATTGATTAATTACATGGAAAATTTCTCCCTCTTTCCTGTCTCATTTTGTATTCTTGTGTACACAGGAAACTTGAAATGTAGATAGAAACTTTTTTTCATGTGCAGCTATGAACACACATAAAATAGACTCAAAGGATTGAGAAAGTAAGCAACACTGAAATTCACAAATAAACTGGGGAAGTTTGTAGAAAAAAATACTTGAATATGAATCTTAAAAATATAAAAGAAAATTAGCATTAATTACAACTGGGCAGTTTATAAGAAACACCTATTAAAATGTATGGATAAGCTGGTAGAAAGGTAAACAGGATAAGTAAAAATGGGAACCCATAAAGAAAAAATGAAACACTGAAGTCGGATTTTATTTGGAAGGAATTTGCCAAATCCATTTAACTTGAGCCTCAGATTCACAACTTCAAAGGGAGTACGTGACCTGGCAGAATCTTGGGTCTACCTTTGTGAGAAGTCCAATAGTAGTCTGTCTGTCTGTCTGTCTCTCTCTCTTTCTCTCTGCAAAAGGACTACATCTGCAATGTCAGGATAGGTTAGACACAAACCTACTCTTTTCTCTGAAGACTCCAAGAAAACTTATCACTATTAATAGTGGTTAGAAGTGAAGAAGAAAAATGTCTTTCCTATGAATCCATATTATAAGCCAATATTTGGACATAACTTCAATGTAAAACCACGCTATCTGCACGGTCTGAAAATCTGAAGCCACACTTGTAAAGTGGTTCCAGGCAAAAACATCCCTGGGCATATAGAGAAGCGAGCACATAGGATTTTTGTTTGGAGAAACACACTTCTAACCTAGACCTTGAAAAAGTCTGACAAATAAAGTTCAAGAAATAACACCTCACTGTTAAACTTAAAAAACACCAAAGTGGGGGGAACATTGTAAATAAAAACTGTCATAAAAATAATAGGAAAATTATGCATTTGAACACTTCAGACATTGTAATGATCAGGAACCAAATATTAAGTAGGTTCAATATAGTTAAAGAACAATAGGCCTGGTGCTGTGGCTCAGGTCTGTAATCCCAGTACTTTGGGAGGCCGAGGCGGGCAGATCACGAGGTCAGGAGTTCAAGACCAGCCTGGCCAATAGGGTGAAACCCTGTCTGTACTAAAAATACAAAAAATAAGCTGGGCATGGTAGCACACACCTGTAATCTCAGCTGTTTGGAAGGCAGAGGCAGGAGAATCATTTGAACTGAGAAGGCAGAGGTTGCAGTGAGCCAAGATTGCGCCACTGTACTCCAGCCTGGGCAACAGAGCAAGACTCTGCTTCAAAAAAAAAAAAAGAAAAAAGAAAGATGGAAAAAAGATAATAAGCAATTCTAAAATGAGTAAGCATATATTTTTTAAAGTTTCAAGTAGAATTTTTGGAAATAAGAAAAACTGAAAATTTAAAATATCCAATTTATATACACATATATATGAAATGAATATATATATTTGAAAAGGCATCAAGTAGAGCTTTATAAATAAAACCTTTATCTCTCTTTGGCTCTCTCTATCTCTGGCTCTATCTATATATAATATTTATCTCATTTGTTCTGCCAATTCAGCAGATATATGTGTTTGTATATATATATGCATATATATAATCTATATATATGCATATATTCATATTTATATCTGCTTATTTGACAGCAAAAACAAGAGAAATAGTAAAATGAAAGTCCAGAATAGGAAAGCTGTTAGATATGAAAGACAGAATATGAGGGAGAATATTTGAATAGGCAATGACTCACAATTTTTCATAACTAATGAAAAATGACAACCCAGGAATGCCTAATAAGGTAATCTATATATAAATACTTTGTAGTGAAACTAAAGATTACCAATAACAATCAGAAGATCTTAAAAGCTTTCAGAGATTAAAGATTTATTACCTTAAAGATAATTACACTGATAGTCGGCATTTCTAAAACAATCAAAACTTAAGAAAAATAATATCATACCTTAAATATGCTGAAAGGAAATCAAAGTGATGCTAGGATTGTAAACCCAGCAAAAGTAGCATTTGAAAATAAGAGTGAGAAAAATAAATCATTTTCAGACAAATAATACCTGCTTTAATATAAACAGATTATCACTGAAAGAAATTCTAAATGAAGGACAGGGATTTTTGTCTATGTTCACTGCTACAATTATATAAGCTAAAATATTGCTTGGAAAATAATAGGTTTTCAATAAATATTTTTAATGAATTAATTCACTAAGTAATAAGAAAATTCAGGTGGAAAGAAAATGATTTTACATGGAAGGTCTGAAATTTCAGTGAGAAAATAAAGACCAAATAAACTTGAAGACATGTAAATAAAACTAACAAATCCTGACTATATAAAACTAAAATGTTAGTGTTATGGACTCATAAAAATAATAAAAGAACTTGTAGTACAAAAGACCACCAGGATGGCTAACTAGTAGAAAGGAGAGCTTTGGGCAACATAGGTTTGCAAGCTGGATAGAGGACGTCTCTGGTGTGGGCTGAAGGTACTCTCTTCAAAACAGGGAAGGACAAGTTGGGTTTTATGCCTCACAGATCTGCATTACACAATAGAGTCATACATATTCAGCAGATTTGGTGAAAAAGCTAAACATACTTATGAGGAAAGCAGAGTGCACATGCAATGGGTAAGCATACAATGCAACATACATCTTAGGTTCACCTTAGGGCAGGGTTTTAGCATTAAAATGAGGTGGAATGTGACTCTATATCAAAAGGCGAACTACAGGACACCAAGACAGCTTGTGCACAGCCTCTATAAGCTGGCCGAAACTGGCTTAAGGTCTGCAATTGCTTATCAGAAAAGAATGTTGGCAAGGCCAGTCATCTGTCCAATCAGAGTTGTTGTTTTCTGGGTTGTGAATCAGAGTTAGGATAATTTGCCTGATAGCTCCTATTGTTAGTGAAAGTGTAGTTTTTCTTGTATGAATTTAGGAATTTGCCATGACAGCTGGGCCTGGAACCCTGGACCTATAGACAACTTTTTGTTTCTTTAATCTTAAGGTCAATCTTAGTTGTGGAAGCGGTACTATTTTGGCCTCTCATATCACAAACTAAAAAACTTGGCCACAATTTTGTGCCATAATGTAGGTGGTCAGAATTAAAATATTGTATGTAGAGTCTTTTATTATTTAGATGTATAAGAATATGACTTTCTTCATATTTGATATGTGTACAATTGGAAATTTCTAGGGTCATCATTGAAAAACAGAGTACATAAAATCAACACTTGTATTAACAGATATAAAAGCATGGAATGATCATTGAATATTAATCAAAAAGAAAATATATTTGAAAGAAACAACAGAAAAAGAAGAAAAAGAAAAACATACATAAACATGCATGAAACAAGACAAACAGGGCAGAGCATTTCATGATAGAAATAAATACAAACATTTAAGAAATGCCAACAAATGTAAATTAACTCAGTGACCCAGATAAAAGACAGGCAGACTAGAAAAAAAAAATTCCAACTCTTTGTTGTTTATAAGAGATTTAAGACATAAGAAAATAGACATGTAACAAGTAAAAAGATGATAAAAGAAACACCAGGAAAATATTAACCAAAACAAAGCTTGTGAAATGTTTCGATGAAAATAGAAGTAGGTCAGGGTTTTGTGCCCTTTGACCCTAATTCTGCACTAAAATTTAAGCTTTGTCTACCCATTATAGCCTTTAGTTGTTTTTGTTGGTGTTATTTACATACAATTTTGGTAATGAAAGATCTTCGAAAGTTTATTTTAAAATGTAAAGCTGTAATATGGACACCAGAGAACCGTAACCTATTTTGCAATAGATTCTTGAAGGTAACAGTGATAAATGCTTTGAACCATTTAAGAACCTGCTAACATATATTCAACTTTTCTGTAGTACTTCATTAGGAGGTAGTAAATATGTTTTTCAGAATAAATAATGCACACTCAAGCACAATAAAAACTATGCTAGTCTCTTTTATTTAGTTGTATTTTTATCTTACCTGTTTTATTCATTTGAGTAGTACAGTAAATAATAGGTATTATAACACTTTTCATCAGACTCAATACTTCATACAACAGTAGAATATAAAGCCATAAACAATAGAAACCTGGGGAAGTTGACAAGTTGATTTTAGGGAAAGAAATAGCAATCTTATCTTGTCAAAACTGTTACAGTTAAAAACATGCCAACAAGTTTGTCATTTCTCAAGGCATTACATATGGTAGAAGAAAATCTCCTGGGTGTTAAATATAACTGGCATCTAAATTCAATGGTAATGTTTAAAGAGTAGTTTCTGAAGACCAGATAAAATATGTGTACTCTGAAGACCTACTAAGTGCTCATGTATTATGTAATGTTTGTTGAGTAACTTCACTGTCGGTTGATTCAAAAGCCCCTAGCCTTTTATTTGGAATGTTGTTATTTATCCATTGGCATTGTTATTAAACTGTTGCATATGAATTTTAAAACTCCCCAAAAAGTTTGTATAGTTCAGTATACTATACAAATGATTTAGTATACTGTGTCAGTTTGTATAGTATACTGAACTATACAAACTTTTTGGGGAGCTTTTAAAATGATTTAGTATACTATACCATTTACAAATGATTTAGTATACTATATCAGTTTGTATAGTTGTAGTATAATAAAGAAAAACATATCTCAAGGTAAAAAAGCATTAGTAGAGCTAAATATAGTCAGTATACAATTGTCCAGGAAATTATGATAATTTTAAACTTACATGAATCTAATTATATAGATATAATATAGAGAGATTATACTATAATCCATAATGTCAGAGAACTACAAAGAGAAATAGTTAAATTAGTGTCAATTGGGAGATTCTCTCGACCCTCTGTCAGTAACTGATAGATCAAGCAAATAAAAATAAAAATCATGTGGCCAATTTAAAGAATATGATAAACTTGCTTTAATGAATTAATATAAAATGTTCTACCCAAATACTGCAGAATATACTCTTGTATTTCTTTCAATCAGATGTGTGCATTTATTGTACTTGCCAACCTACTGGGCCACAAAACAACAAATCGCAACAAATCTGAACAAATTTCAAATGCTTGGTGTGATACAGAGTATAAAGATTGCTATCTACTATACAATTATGTTAATAGTAAAAAAAAACTAATTAGAAAAATTTTTGATATAAAAAACACATGCATAAATAAGTTATTGGTCAAGGAAGAAATACAAACAATAGTAATTTGATTATTTAAGACTTAATGATTACTAAAATATATCTATTCATGCTTGTGAGATACAGCTAAATGCTACTTGGAGGGAACATTTATTGTCTTGCATGCATGAGCAGAAAATTTTAAAAACACTAAAAATCTAAAAATTAGGAGGTTATGAAGTGAACAAAATAATATAAAAGAAAGTTAAAAGAGGAATAGTGAAAGGAAAAGAAACTAATCAAATTCAAAAGAAACGTCCAATAGGGAAGATAGTTACCCTGCAGGACAACAAATCTTAGACACCAGAACTAGTTTTAGATCAAACTTTAGAAACTAGAATAGATGATTTTTCATGAGTTTCAATCCTTTTAAGTTACAGTAGTAAGATATATTTTTATTTATGAAATCCAGCTTACCTAATTGAAAACTGTGTGTTTGAACATCTTGTGTTCTCTCTTATGTTCAAAGCTATGCAATTTTTATAAGAAAATAGATATTTATAATATTTAATTTCCAAGTAACTAATGTTGTAACATCTTTGCTTAGACTTTATTTGCGTGTGTGTATTTATGTATGTATATAATGTATGTATATATATTTAATACTGTTTATTCCATTTGATACTTACCAGCAACTAGTTAAATGCTTTGGGAGAAAAACACAGGAAGAGGATGGAGCAATAATGGATGGCAGTAAAGGCCAAAACACACCAGCATTCTCAATGTTGTACTCAGAAATTAGAAAAAGAAAAGTTGAGATTATGAGTGCTTTTTCAAGACTTACTTACTTTTCACCATTTTATTTTGAAATAATTTTTGACTTATGGAGGAGTTTCAAAAATAGTATAGAGAGTTCCCATATGCCCTTCACACAGCTTCCTCTAATGTCAAGAACCGTAACCATGGTAGCACTATTACAACTAAGAAACTAACAATGGTACAAATCTAGTATCTTAACTGCAGGCTTTGTTCAGATTTCCACTGGTGTCCTTTTCCTGTACATGACTTTTATGATTTAAAAATAAAATTGGTAAAACTGTTCACAGATGTACCTTTGTAATTTGATCATCAATTGTATTCCTTCAATCAAGTGTACATTCATTGTGCCTACCATGTGCTAGTCTTAATCTTCTACATTTCTGTAGCTTATCATTATTTTTATTTATCATATGCTTCCTTTTTCATCTAGAGCATGCTGTTCCCAACAGACTGAATAATGTCTTCATGTCTTTGATCAGGGTGCAAATACTTACTGTATAGAATACAGAATGGATTTTTCATGGTGCTGACAAAGTTTGTATGGAAGCAGTAGAAATCACCCAAGTATGTAAAAGTGTGGTTCTTTATTCTTTTGTCTTTATTCCTTTGTGTAACAGGAAATGATCAGAACAATAAGAGCTCAGGAGCTAATATTTGCTTTAAAATTAGCAATCAAATATTATAGCATTCAATTTTTTAGAGAATTGCTTCATTTCCTGTAAATTCCCAGTTGCTACATGTGTCCACCATGTACTTTACAATGACATTAGCCTGATCGTATTGTTTTGCTTCAAGTGTATAAAAGATGTTATGACTATATGCAAAGCAGGCTCCTGGGGTCAAATGTCTTTATTAACTGATAAAAGCTTTTTTTCTCCTGTAGATAACTAGACATTACTTTTTAGGCAATGAGGAGATGATAACTTTTTTTTAAAGGGAAGTGGATAATATAATCCTCATATTATTTTAGTCCTCTGAGGACAAATGGAGGCAGGAAAGGCTAGAATGGAGAAAGATTAGATGTAGAGGATTCAGTTTGGAGACAG
Source organism: Homo sapiens (assembly GCF_000001405.40). NCBI lineage: Eukaryota > Metazoa > Chordata > Mammalia > Primates > Hominidae > Homo > Homo sapiens. Next base: position 41,387,327 of record NC_000011.10, read on the forward strand.
ACAGGTGATAAGAAGTGAGGAACACCTGACTGAATCAGTGTCAGTGCTATCAGAGAGAAACAGTTGAAACAAAGAGTTTTCTAAATCACAGTCAACAGATTTGGTGTTGGCTTAAAAGGGTGTGGAGCAGTGATGGAGAAGTCCAAGAAGAAAATAAGAAGGATGAGATTTCATTTGTGGGAAATGAGATGGTTATTTATATCAAAGATATGGAAAAAAATACAGAGTATTTTTTGAGGAGAGATGGTAATTATTCTCTGCTTTGTTCTTATGGAATATAGGTGCTTGTCAAAAATCAGAATGGAAAAGTCCAATAAATGGTTGACTGTTGTTATATATCACCCTAATAACTGTAAACAAAATGTTATGGGTGACCCTGGTTTAAAACCCTCTACAATTTGCTAGACAGTTTCCTAGACACCACCCGACACCCATAGTTATATATGTTAGCTGCAATGGCTAAATATCTGAAACCTCTGTGTTGGCCAAGATAAGCATATTTCAGTGAAGTTACCAACCATTCTCCTGGGATGTCACTTTCCAGGGTCACCTCAGTAGATCACTTTTCTAATCACAGTGCAAGATTTGACACATTTAGTTCATTCTCACAATCTCTTTTTCCTTGATATCTTTTTAAAAAGCTTCTTGTTCCATAACCCAACAGAGAAATACATTAAATTTTCTCTGAAAGGCATCAAAAGATATCAGGTTAAGGAAGTAGAGAGTGAATTGAAATATATTATTTTTTACAAAATTGTATAACACATACATTATACACTGCTTTAAGATTTATGCCTGGTATTTGAAAAAAAGATAGGCTTACACATCCATTCAGCAAATATTTGTTAAGCCAGGCACTGGGAGAATAGACATGAATAATATACAGAGAAATAGAAAGTAGATAAAGAGTTTTGACTGTTTTTGGTGGAGATTGTGGTAGTGCTAGGGTAAAGATAATGGGTTTCAGTAAAGATGCGTTTTTGAAGTACTAGCCTTACACATAGGGCAATATATCCACTAGAGCTGTATAATTTGGATCTATATGTAAATACATACATAATAGTGTGTTCCCATTTAAAAGACCTGACTTCAAATGACCCACATGGTACTGGGGGAGACAGATGTGCAAATAATCATGGTATACTATGACAAACACTGTGCTAAAAGTATGGCAAAGAATACTCCACGAAAACAGAAGGAATTGATAGACCCATTTTGCTAAGGAAGATTTATGAGTTTGCTATGTTTGAACTGTGCCTTGAAGAATCAGTTGAATTAGCTGAATGGCTAGGAAGGCATTTGGTAAACTAGGGAAAACATCAAGGAATTACAAATCATTTCAGCTGATCAGTGATGAGAGACAGCATTAAGAAACAAAGTGAAGCCAATTATAGAAAGAACATTAACCCATTATACAAAGATTCTAAACTATACCAAAAGACAGGAAGAGGGTTCTTACCAGTTAGTGCCTTGATGAAAGTGGCCCTTAGTAGTTCCTTAAATACCAATAGGTATATCATAGTTCCTCAACCTGTCTTTGCATCCACAGTTGTAATATGTAAGGATTAATTTAACAAGAAATTTTGATGTTTAGACAGGTTTGGAAAGTTTAGATCTAAATATAAGGTTTTGCTTCTCTTTTCACAGGTAATTTGGACTCTAATGATGTCTACATAGCCAATCTACAGTCTGGCTAGGAAGGGATACGATGGCATGGTATTTTAAAAAGAAAAAAATAAAGTTATCTAAAAGATACACTACCATTAGCTGAGATGAGATAATTGAATTCTCTTTAATTTGTAAGCAGACTGGCTTACTCTACACCCACATACTCTCATTTAGCAAAAAGATAAAATATCTACACAGGACCTTGCAGCTTACAAAATACATCCATATACATGTAGGTCCCACAAAATGCTGTGGTGTAAGTACCCTTATGACCCTAATTGACAAATAAGAAAACCAAGGTTCCAAGAGTTAAAGGCTAGTATGTAGATATGCACCCAGAGTCCCTGATTCTGATTCTGAGACTGCATAATTTATATCATGGTTGTGTCATTAAAAAGAAGTGGAAGAATCTGGAACAAATAAAACACACAGCGACTAAGTTTCAATTAAATATAGGACATAGCAATACTGTGGTTGGAAAGGGTAGGCAAGAGATATCATGAGGTCACTGGGTGCTTGAGGGGAAAGCAAGGGTTAAAGAACAGTCTCTAACAAAAGGAAGAAATTGCACCAAAGATATACTTTCCTTATTTCTCAAGTTCAGCTGTAATCAACCAAGCCTAATCTAGGATAACAGTGAGCAGCAAAAAAAAAAAAAATCACAAAAGAAAATTCTTGAAAAGAGGTGCTTCTACTTGCATATAATTGCTTACACTGAAGTAATATCTGGACCAGACTGCTGGCCAGTGATCGGGCATGTGCCTGGGCAAACACATAACCAAGGCTCCGCTAATTAAAAGTCTGATTCCCCACACTTCTACAATTACCATTGAACGATGCTGTGAACATCTGAATTGTGCTAATCCTGGACATGAATATTTTATTCATTTGGACCATACCCCAAAATTAACATACTTAAGAAACTATAATATGCTGTATTATGTTAATGAGAGAAACATGTCCAAGGAAGAAATGGTGCTATGGTTACACAGGACATACTATTTACCAAGATAATGAGGAAATTTTCTCTTCTGTTTTTATCCTGTTCTGAGTATGTCTATCCAGAACTTGCATTTTAAAATATTAATATATGAATAAAACTGCATAAAACATTGTTGAAGTTAATTATTTTGTTTGCCGAGGATTTGAGGGATATAGAATAAATGTTCTGGTGGGTTGAGATAACCTGATCTGCTCTTATCTCCTACATATGCAAAGTGAGTGGTCTCTTTAAAACAAAACAAAATAGAACAAATAAAAAACAACACAGGGCACTAAGAGGGATAAATCATTTAGGAGAAACAATCAGTCTTCAGCTTTTGAATGGCTGGCTCAGGGTTTTGGTGACGTTTCCATTGTGCCAGTGTGCCAATGTGAGAAGAGAGGCACTGTCTTAAATCCTTTGTAACCGGCGACTACAGAATCTTGCATAATCTAGTACCCACCTGCCTGTCACTACCCTGCCCTTAGGATGATTTTCTGGATCACTTTGCCCCAGCCACATGGCTTTCTTAAGTTTCTTCAGCATTCCTAAACCCTTTGTGTTCTATGACCTTTCAGTTTGCTAATCCTTTACCTAGAATACATTTTTCCCTTTCTTCCTGTAGCAAACTTTTACTCATTCCTTAGGTGTCAAATTCATCATCATGTCCTTGAATGAACTTCATCTGATCATCTCCACTTTGAATTAGGGTAAGTCGCCTGTCTGCAATCCAGTGTTTGCATGCTTGCACTTCATAGCACTTTCTACCATCAAAATATATAATACTATGAGAAAATCTTTCTTTGATGTATGTGCTTGCCCTCTCCACTACACCATAGCTTCATGTGGGCAAGGACTAAGTTTGTCTTCATCACCCACTGTGTTCCTGGCAAAGTACCTGGCATATAGTAGCTACTCAAGAAATAATTATCAATGGAATGATTGAATGAATAAATATAGCTTTCTTTAACTAAAAGCAGTATACAGGGTTGAGGTTTGCTTTAATTAAAAAAAAAAAAAAAGTGTCCTGCCTTGGGCCATATAAGTAAGCATTTTGTGAAAGGGTAAAGGTAAAAAAAAAATCATTTGTTCTATAAACTTGTTCAAGGTGTTCAAGGGACTTGGAAAAGTTGTTAAATCAGTGACTCTTAAACTCTGGGGTTTGTGAGTATAGGTTATATTATAAATTTGGTTTAAGGTAACATTTCTCTCTGCCCTGCCTTCTTCTTCAGTGTTCTATACTCAGTAAGTCCAAAGTGAATGGAAATCTACACTAAATACACAACTCAAGAAGAAAAAAATAGAGCTAAAATATACAAATAGAAAATGAATCAGGGGTTACCACAAGTGGAGCAGGGGGGAGAAGAACTGGGGATATGTAGATCAAAGATGCAAAATAACAGTTATGTCAGATAAGCACATTTAGAAATCTAACATATAACATGAGGACAAAAGTTAATAAAATTGTATTTGGGAATACAGGAAAAAAAATGAAATGAGTAATTCTACAAATATGTATTGAGCATTCATGTGCCAGGCAGGGCATGAGGTAATGAAGGCATGAATGATGCCCACGTTTGAAAGCCACTGCAATAAATGATGACTTGATTATTTTCTACATCATTTCCAATGCTATAATTCTCACTTATTTCCACATTTGATAAGTATTTATTGATGACCCCCTAAAACCCAAGGTGCAAGATCAGTCTTACAACTGACAGACATTTCCTTTCCCTCAAGTTCCTATAATACCTCAGGAAATAAAAAGTAAACACATATTTAGATACTTATTGGCTATCTGCCAAACCCTCAGTATTGATAAATATTTTTACATTATCTCAAATGTGTCTATGAATAGGTCTCAAAAAATTAATAGAATATTATTTTAGTGCTTATAAATTTTTAAGCATTGTAATAAGTGTTTTACTTGATTATTTTATTTTATTATCATAGGAGAAGCAGGCATCACTGCTATTTAAAAGCAATTTGCTCAAAGTCACCTGGTTAGCAGGTAGAATAAAAGAGAAAACTATATGTATAAAAATAGCTTCAAATTAGGTAGTCAGAATTAAGTACTCACTGGAACTATAAAAAACAGAAGTAGGAGAAAACCGTTTACGAGGGGAAAATACAAAGGCATATGTAGGCACTATAACATGTTTGCTGTGGAATTCATGATAAGGCACTTTCATCTATGACCCGATTGATATTTCTTAGTAGAATGACTTGCAGTGAGACTTTAGCTACTGAAGTCTCTTTCCCACGTATGATGTAAGCCACGTGGTGAATTTTCTTGTCAAGATGTGTTCCTCTTTTTGCATCTTGAATGCCACTGTAGATTAACTGTTTTTGTACAAGTGTTTAACCTGGACTTATTCTCACAACCATTTAACAGAGCTGATCTTCCACTGGGCTCTGTATATTTCAATATATTAGCAGCTTTCCTCTGTAGAGGACAACCACTGGGAGAGAAGCCAAACAGTTACGTGTAATAAGCCTTCTTTGGTACTTACCGAATTTAGGATTTGTACTGGGTTGAATAGTGTTACCACCCCCATACCCACCACCTCCCCCAAACAAACAAACAAAAAAAAAAACATCGTTACCTAGAACTTAAGAATGTGGGTTTATTTGGGAATAATATCTTTGTAGATGTAAATAGTTAAGATGAAGTCATACTAAATTAAGGTGAGCCAGAAATTAAATGACTGATATCCTTATGAAAAGGTCATTTAAAGACACACACAGGGAAGAAAGACATGTGATAATGAGTGCAGAAATTGGAGTGATGTAGCTGTAAGCCAAGGAATCCCAAGAATTTCTGGGAACTGCTAGTGGCCCAGAGGAAGCAGGAAGGATTCTTCCCTGGAGTCTTCTGAGAGAGCAAAAGCAAGAACCTGCCAGTTTAAGACTTCTATGTACCCAAACTGTAGGAGAATAAATTTAGGGCAGTCCTAGGAGATAGGATTTTATCAGGAAAATCCTCTGGCATAAAGCATTATGACAATATACCTGTTTTATTGTTATGCTTTCCTAATTGCTCCCACAGCAGTTCTTCTGGTATGATTTTAAATAGGGGAGATATAATGATTGTAAAGTCACTTAAGTTAGTTTGCTAGGACATAAGCAAACTAACTTTGACATTTAGACATTTATAAAGAGGAACTGTAGAAACCTCCAAATGTTTTTCAGATATAATTTTCTATTAGCCAAATTTCTTATACATCAAAATTAATGTCGCTCATATTGTTTACGGGAACCATCTGGGAGAAGAGGCAAAAACTGTTGGCAAACTACATCTCCATAGATGCTGGGGTTGCTCAATGGATCTGTGACACCAAAAAGGCCTTTTTCCTTTGAGATTAGGAATAAAAGTGTGCTCTGAACATTGCTATGAATGAGCTTTGTGAAAGTATCTTAGGGAAGGTTCTCAAAGGTGGCTGACTTTGAAAACTGATCCATGTGCAATGTCTCAGTGAAGAAAGAAGTAAGTGAGAGGGGTAGGGGCAGGGGGGAGGAGGAGAGAGCAGCAATCACTCTTTCAGATCATGTTTCTTTCCAGAAACAGATCGCCACTGGTTCCAGGGTGAACATAATTTTGTAACCTGCAAAAATGCTACATTTAAAAGCATAAAAGCACTCAAGAAGAGTTTCATTACAGTTTCTGTATACCTTATGGGTTGTTATACTTTGTAGTTAGAGGCAATGAAACTTGAAGGGAAATATTGAGGACTTGCCAAAATCTGTGCAAATGAGTCTGTCACATTTATACTTTATGCTACAGTATCCTATCACATTTTGTATTCAGGAAATACTGGATCACATATTTGTAACAGCAACAGGGCATGCTTTCAATAGTATTAGTGCTGCTAGCATATGCAAGTGAATTCCATAACATCCATTTCCTTGCATATGTTTACTCCTCACCAACTAGTCTATATGTGTATTAATTAGGCTACCTTTAGCCCAGTGATAATTTTTTTTAAGTAGTTCTTGTAAGTCTAGATGTCAGCCAAAATCCCTCATTCACCTGCACCTTTTATCAAATATGCAAAGAGGCACTCTAGGGAGCCTTAAAAGCATAGACTCTGGAGTCAGTATGACCTACATTCAAAGTCTCTATCCTTCACTTTTTATGCATCTGACTGTGGAGGTTTGATGTCAAAGTCCTTGCTTCCTTATCTGTAAAATGGAGTTCATAATAGTGGCTATTGTGGATTAGAGTGAAGAGGCACTGATTTCACTTGACTTGTGTTTCCACAACGGAAAAGAAATTTGCAGTCCATTTCTAGGAGGGAAATCTACAAAATGGACTCTTCCAGCTTCTCTCTATACCTTCCTTCACTGCACTATTAGAAAGGAGGGGGACTTAATCTAATTTGCAAATTTGAAAGGAATAGAGTATGCGTCTCTCCTTTTTCAGATGCGCCTCCCTGCAGAGAGGGCTCTGGTTATGTAGTTATGCCAAGCAGTGGGTGACATACCTTTCTTTCTACTTCATATGGATTTCCAGAAAAGCCAGCCTGGCTACTGAGTGAAACTATGTTCTCCAATCAGCTCATCAGAAATAATGTGGTTACAAAGAAGGATGATTTGATCCTTGTGGTAAAAAACACCAACTTGAAAGATAGGTTGTGAAGACTGCAGATAATAAATGCAAAGTACTTAACAAGAGTGCTGGGTCCATGGTCAGCCATTGACTACTGGCTATTATTATGGTGATTTTCTTTCTTATTATATTACTACCATTGACATTGCTGCTGCCACTGAAGTTGTTTTGTTCTTTTTACTCTTTGATTGGCACCAGTCAAAGAGAACTGTGACTTCTCATTCACATAAATGTTTTGCACAAGAGGAAGGAAACATTCAAATGGTAAGTTTATATTTAGTCACTTAATAGAGAAAAGGGAAAGATAGAAAAATAAAAATGCTATCGTGGTATATGGCACCCAGTCAGCAAAGCCTTTTATACTCTAACTGACCTCTTCAGAGAGAATCCTTTCATTTCTGCTGAGAACAGGGGGCAGCTAGGCTTCAATAATGTCTGAAGGCAAGGGAGTACTGTTTGGCTCTACTAAACGTTCACATGTCCCATTAACCAGGAGACACAATCCTGGTTTAAATAGCATTTTTCTGATGAAGCAGGGTACAGACACTGGCAGAGTCTCAGAGTTAAAACAGTTAACGGAATGTCTTCGGATCAGCAGGAAAGAGCAGAGAAAAAATGAGCGCCTATTCTTGAGCACATGTGAACACCTCTTGTGTACACCAATAAAAGCTTCTTAGATTGAAGCAACTGCTTTGTCAGAAAGAGTTGTGTCCTAGCAAATTTGAGCAATAAGCTCTTAAAATGTAGGTAGAAATGCTGTATAACCTCATTTATACCCAGCAAATAATGAGGTCTGGAGACGTGTGGGTTATATAAGAATTAACATGCCAGCCAGCTATTAAATAGCAGCTGTGGCAACATAGATTATGATTGGACCATCACTATAATTTAGTCTCATTTTGTGCACCATAATTGAATAATCAAATAATAATACAAAAGAAATCATTAGTGTCTTAAATTACAGTCATACCAATACCAGTTCACTTTCTTCCAAATATAGGCCTTAAAAATATGGTTATTATTAACACCCATTTTACAAAGAGTAAAATATCAAGATCAAGGAATTGCAAGTAATTTCCCAATTTCATGTACAAAGTTGAAACAAGAATAAAATGAAACTCCTCTGACTACATAATTGGTCTCTTGATCCAACAAATCAAAATGTTTTCATCCTATTCCAATTTGTCCCTCCCAAAAGAGTCCATCTCTTCTTTCACTCCTCTTACCCTCCAACACAAAGACTCATTAAATACCAATCTTCTAACCAAAAAGTACTGCACTTTTTGTGAATCTCAGGGAACTAAAAGTAGTTTATTTTTATTTGTTTCTTTCCTTTTGGAAATAGTGAAGATCAAACTTGTCCAATCTGCCACCCATGGGCCACATGTGGCCCAGGACGGCTTTGAATGCGGCCCAACACAAGGTCATAAACATTCTTTAAAACATTCTGAGACTTTTTGCTATTTTTTTCGGCTCAACGGCTATTGTTAGTGTATTTTAAGAGTGGCCCAAGACAAATTCTTCTTCCAATGTGGCCCAGGGAAGCCAAAAGATTGGACCCCCCGTTGCAGATATTAGTTTATAATTAGAGTACAATCAAAGAGAGATATTGAAGAACAGAATAAGTTAACAAGCAAATCGAAAAAGTAGTAAAGAGAAAATGAGGAGTAAGGGTCTAAAAACAAGAAGTTGTGGTGCCACTTTCAAAAATAGGCATTGCTCAGGTTCTGTGTTAAATGTAGCAAAAAAATTAAGATAGGTATTGCAGTCTGACTAATTTTCAATGCTAAATTAAAGTGCAGAGTTTAGATTGTAATTTTGAGATTAGATGATTTCTGAGTCCTTGGCCTATATTTCATGTATTCTTTTTTTTCTTTTATAGTTATTGTCTTCACTTTCTGATCTCTGCAATATAATCAGACAGGTGTTCCTCAAATTCTCTTAATTTGCTTCACTTAAAATAATCACTAATAACAATGAGAAACATGTAGTGAATGCTCAACTTTATGATATGGGTAGTTTTTTAACTTTTATTTTAAATTCAGGGGTAAATGTGCAGGTTTGTTATACAGGTAAACCTGTGTCATGGAAGTTTGTTGTGCAGATTATTTTGTCACCCAAGTATTAAGACTAGTTCCTAAAATGACAAACACCCTGGAAGACAGCCTAAGCAATATCATTCAAGAAACAGGCACGGGCAAAGATTTCATGATGAAGACACCAAAAGCAATTGCAGCAAAATAAAAAACTGACAAATGGAACCTAATTAAACTTTAGAGCTTCTGCACAGCAAAAGAAACTATCAACAGAGTAAAGAGACAGCCTACAAAGTGAGAGAAAATTTTTGCAAACTATGAATGTGGATAGTTTTAAGTATTTCACATGCATTAGTGCATTCCATTCTCCCATCAACGCTATGAAGATGTAAATACGATTTTTTAAAGAACAAAGACACAGGGAGAGTAAATAAGTTATTGGGATCATAGAGACAAATAGTGAGGTCAGATGCAAACCCACGCTGTCTCATTCCAGAATCCAGAATCAACCATCATGCTAAGCTATTTTGAACCATAAAGCAGTTGACCCTCTAACAACACAGTTTGAACTGTGCAGGTCCACTTATACACAAAGTTTTTCAGTAAATGCTACACTGATATGCCTACCCCTCCTGCCTCCTCTTCCACCTCCTACACCTCTTTTGCCCTTGCCACCACTGAAACATCAAGGCCAACCTCTTCTCTTTCTCCTCCTCCTCAGCCTGCTCAATGAAAAGACAATAAGGATGAACACCTTTATGATGATCCACTTCCATTTAATAAACAGTAAATATATTTTATCTTCCTTATAATTTTCTAAATAGTATTTTTCCAGCTTACTTTATTATAAAGATATAGTATATAATACATATAACATGCAAAATATGTGTTAATCAACTGTTGGGTGTTATTGATAAGGTTTCTGGTCAGCACTAGGCAATTAGTAGTTACATTTTGGGGGAGTCAAAAGTTATATGTGGATTTTCAACTGTACAGGGGTCAGTGTCCTTTACCCCCAGGTTGTTCAAGGGTCAACAGTAAATGTGAACAAAAACTAAAAAAAAAAAAAGATATTTATCTAATTACTTAAATATTTATTTTGCAATAATCTCATATTTTGTGTTTTCTAGGGCTCTTATAAAACTAAGGCTAGCTTTTAATAATTTGAATACACCTTATCTCTAGAGAGGTAGTGATATGTTCATGGCAAGGTAGAGATCCAAACCAGTAGAGAAGATAGAAAATTATTATTATATATTTTCCATGTAGTATTACCTTATAGCTAATTCTCTCTTCAGTCTCAGTTTTCAGTTATTTATAAGGCTTAGAAATAAATCCTGATCTCAGCCCTGTCCACTTGTTTCATCAGCCTAATGCCTCCATGCCTCATCTTTCATACTTCATAACCATATTACGTTTAATGGGGATGCACTTGTGACACTTGGAGCTGAATTATTCTTCAATGTGTAGAATTGCCTTATATAATACAAGACCTTGGGAATTACTGGATGATGGCACAAAATACTAAATAAAAACAACAAATGCCCCACTTTCCCTCTTTTCTACTGCCTCAGGGGTCACATTTCACTTTCTTAGGAAGTCTTGGCCCAGATTCTCAAAGCCACCCAAACAGCATTTTGCACACTTTTTTTAAGTTTTATTTTCTCCCATTGCTCTACCTTGCAGGGTGTGAATGTAGTACGTACCACCTACAAATATGTGACTAATGCAGAAATCCCATTACGTACTCTCTCTAGTCTACATGTTTACTAAGCTCTTCAGATACGATTCTTGAAACTTCCTTTCAGTTAATTTACTTAGCAGATTCTTTTTAAAGATGGAAATCCCTGAATGCACTGTAACATTTTATTGCTGTCCTAGTAGACATTCCATTCACTCCTAGAAATGCAAACAGGAATGGTTTCCCCTTTTGAAGAAGGAAGAGGGATCACTGAATGTTACCTTGTGCTAGCCACTTTATGTAAGACAGCTTCCTAGTTTGATCTTGATTTCAATTCTTCCTTGTTGCTATTATTATGCCCACTCTGAAGACACAAAAACTGAGACTTAAAGTATTAAGTAAATTGCTAATAATATTGACAAAGATGATAACTATATTTATAATAATAATAACAGCAACACACAGGCCTAATTCTACCATGGTAAAGCCTAACTTATCAAGCTGTAAATTATTAAATTTCTAAGTTTGATGTTTAAGATATCATGATAGCTCTATAGGGAAGTTGTGTAGAAGGACCTTATTGGCCTCTCTCCCAAGCAGAATCCACTGCCACTTTGTCTATTTACCTTGTAAGGCTTAATGACTACCATCAAACATATTCCTGTCCAGTTGAAAACAGATGTACAAAATCTCTGGATTAAGGCTACTTTCCTAGAAAATAAGATTTACAATACACAATATAGACCATTCTAGAAAGAACTGACCAAAGCATCTGAAATTTGCAAATTAAACTGCCATCACTAGTTTTGTGTCCATATGAGATTGCACCTCAGTCTCTTTGTCTATATAACAGAAAACCTGGATCAGTGAGTGCTAATATTCTTCATGGAGTTGATTTAAGGTTTAATGACACTTGAAAAAGTCCATATTTAAATATTGCCTTGATTTTGTCCCCTGTTCCCATAAAATGCTGCTGAACATATCTTGAACACAGCAGAGGGGTGAAAACGCAACTTTTTGTTAGAAGTATGTTCATTTTCTTGGGACTGACTGGTGAGGAAAGAAGGTTTGCAAGGCCAAGTGTCGGGAGAACAACATATTGTATGTGGGAGGGTGCATTGCAATGAGTGCATGAAATTACAGTACAAAGGATCAAAGAGAAAAATTGCCTTTAGAATGACAGGCTTTCCTTCACGGAGAAGAAAAACCAAATAATTTATGCCTCAGAGGTACTGTAGGGCTCATATTTTAGCCTGCAGAATTCCTCAGCATTGCTGTAACTGAGCCTCTTGCAGGGAGAAACTATTAATCCTTTGCATGCTTTGCCATTAATATTGTTTATTGGGCCACAAGAAGAGAACATAAAACTTTAATGTCAGTTTTTCACACTAAGGATTTTTTTTCCTTAAAAATCCAATGGTATCTGCCAATTTGATGTGGCACTTTAAGGAGATTAGAGAAGCAGATGGCTGATTCTTAATGACTAATTTTTTGCATCAACTAAAGATTTGTTATTTGATGCAAACTGCTCAGAATAACCATGTTCCTTTTTAATGAAGTTGGACTGTGCTACTGAAAGGGAAAAGCGAGAGTTTATACTGACAAATAAGAAAAATTAGATTCAGAAGGTTCTGGAAGGATAACAGAGCACCAGGACATGTAAGCTAACCCAAAAGTAAAATTCTGAAGGCAACAGAGCCAGTGAAGAAGAACTCAGTGCTTGTTACACAGTGAATGTCAATTTTGAGGAAAGTCTCATGCAAGAATTACACAAAACCTATAGATTAAGAGATGAGGCTCTCAGGAAACATCTAATCTAAGTCAGACCCTAGTTCAAATCTTTGGACAGCTGTTTATATTCTGGACAATTTGAGACTGTTAGTCAGACATTAGTTTTAGTAAGAGTAAAAATGTGCATAGGAATAACTCCTGTGAGAAACTGTTATAAATGTTAAAGTTAAAAGTGCATATAACGTGTTGAGCTCAGTGCCTGACATTTAGTAAACACTCATTTGTCAAGTGTCTTATAAGTACTCACAAGTACTTATTTTTCTCCTTAGCTGTTTCTTTTCTCCTACCCCGTGATAAATCTAAGCGATTTCCACTCCCCTTGTTAGTTTCTGTCCAACCAATAACACAATTTTTAGAACAATTCATTTTGGTCATCTTCCTGTGTCCCTGCTTCCAGTTCCAGACATGGGAACGCTGGGAATTCTACAACTATCATGGGGAGAAGAAGACTTCAGGGAAACATTAATGGAAGGAGAAGAAATAGGAGATATTTTTTTAATGCTGCTAATGGGATCAAAATGCCAATGTACAAAATCTCTGGATTAAGGCTACTTTCCTAGAAAATAAGATTCACAATACACAACATAGAACATTCTAGAAAGAACTGACCAAAGCATCTGAAATTTGCAAATGAAACTGCCATCACTAGTTTTGTGTCCATATGAGATTAGACCTCAGTCTTCTTGTTTATAAAACAGAAAACGTGCATCAGTGAGTGCTAATATTCTTACTAGAGTTTATTTAAGGTTTAATGACACTTGAAAAAGTCCATATTTAAATATTGCCTTGATTTTGTCCCCTGTTCCCATAAAATGCTGCTGAACATATCTTGAACACAGCAGAGGGATGAAAATGCAACTTTTTTTTTATGCTGACACTGTCACTCATAAGCAATGCAGGAAAATGCTTGAGACTACTGAGCACTATTTTGGCAGACACCCAAGAAATATGCCAAATATTGTAATATGATAAAGAGAAGACTGTATGTTGAAGATATGTTTTAGAAGGAAATGGAATTCAGTGTATTTTTTAGGGACAATCTAGGACAGCAGAAGAGGAAATTTTGTATAAGGATGTACTGTACTATTTACTAAAGTAACTGAGAGCTACACATGGCTTTCTACATTTGAATTAAAATGAAAAGTAAACAACAATTAAAATTCAGTTCCTTATTCACACTAGTCACATTTCAAGTGCTCATTAGTCAAAAATAGCTGGTGGTTACCATAGATTACAGACTATAACCATTACGGCAGAAAGTTCTATTGGATGGTTGTTTTGAGAGGAAAAAAATAAGAAATTTTCTTCTTGTTTTCCATTTATCTAGTGATTATCTGGTGCATTTACTCTTCTGAATGTTAAGTTTACAAGCATAACTAAAGCAAGGTCCTGGCTCTCATAGTGTCTCCAGTCTAGTTGGGAAAATAGGCAAAAATAAGCAAAAAGTAGCAATGCAATAGGCCAGTCATGGGGCGGACAAAGGATTTAACTGGCAAAGGACAATGGAAACAGTAAGAGTGGAGTAATAAATAATGTTTAACCGGGAAGAGACCTGATTTTGAAAGACTGGAACAACTTACTAGCTGTGAAATTTTGGACAGCTTTTTCTGGACCATAGTTTATTCGTTCACTTGTTTACTAATTTTTTTACTTCTTTCTTGCCTTGGGTTTTCAAAGAATATTTCTTGAGTGTCTATCATGTGAGTTATGCATGGTTGAGAATGTTTAGAGCCATTGTAGGTCTTGTTAAAATGGAACCCATTTGATCCCTCTCATTTTTCTCTAAAGGAATGCCATTGCATTCTCTAATTCATTTCTTGTTGATTACATCCTAAGAGACTTTCCCCTTGCTGTCAGAACTGCCTCATTTATTCATTCACCTAATCACTCAGCAGACATTATTGAACACTTACAATGGAATAGGTACCACATTAAAGACATATACATAAAAATGTCTTGTCCTTTGTCCTGAAAAGTCTAGTGGGATAGAGAGAGATAAAAAATACTACAATACAGTCTGATGAAGGTGTGGACAACAGGGTCCATGGGATAAAATAGAAAGGGGACAGAACAAACACTCAAAGAAGAGAGTTCATCTCATTATTTATCCATGGAATGATGCATTTAATTGATGAGCTGTCTTCAAACAATGATGAAAGCCTTGCACACAATATAAGACCATGCTTAGTTATAATCCATCAAATAGTAACCAATCCTTCACCAACTAATGGGAAGTCTTTAGAAAAATAAAATGAGAATACAGAGTATTACACATTAAAGGTTTCTACTGGTATGGTTAATCAGAATCCACTTAAACCACCCTATCTACAGGTCAGTGCTTATGTCCATTGATAAAAGTATTCCTTTCAGCAGACATTTACTGAAGAGCTACTCAGTGCCAGTATTGTGTCAGGGCTCTGAGAAATGTGGAAGACATGCTGATTGCTTTCAGTAAACATCTAATCTAAGTAAATACATTTTATTATGTAAAAAATATATTTGCGTCTAAAGAGTTAACTGTCAATGTATTTTAAGAAACCAAAGAAGAGAAA
This sequence comes from Homo sapiens, assembly GCF_000001405.40. Classification (NCBI taxonomy): domain Eukaryota; kingdom Metazoa; phylum Chordata; class Mammalia; order Primates; family Hominidae; genus Homo; species Homo sapiens. Next base: position 41,402,646 of record NC_000011.10, read on the forward strand.
TCAGTATGCTTCCTATAGCAGAATTTCTAATGGGATATTATAATAATATTTAGAAAGGAAAAAATGAAGAAGAACTCCAGACAGAGTAAATACCAAGAAACAGGGCTCAAGAGAAAAACACAGAATCTGGCTGATAGTTCATTGGTCAGGTACCATGAGCCTGATACTGAACTATATACCTTAAGCATAATTATTTATTTCATTTTTCACAATAACAATATTATGTATTATTACAGCATTTTAAATATGAATAATCGAGAGCTGAAATAATTTAAAATATGCAATTTACCTAAAACCACAAAGCTAATACATGTTCACGCCGTAAATCAAACTCAAAACTTTGTAATAAAAATGTCTTTTGCCCCTTAGTGTTCAACAGCAAAGAACAGTATTTTTTTCTTTGCTGAAGTATAGACAGCTTAGCTGGTCATCTGAACAAGAGTGCTGAAAACTATGGTGAGGAGGTTCACTTAAGCCAGATAATTGAGGATTTTGAAGGCTAGACTACAAAGGTGTGTTCTATGTAAATATTCTCCCTGAAAAAGTCATTTCAAAAAGTTAAACACATGGAAAATTATTTAAGTATATCAGCCATGTTTCACAAGCTAAACTCAAGATATCTAGAATATTAAAACACTGCACCTCAGCTAGTACTTTCCAATTGTCTGAACTTGTAACAAAAGCCTACAGAGGTAGATAAAGGTAGAAACAGAAAAACCAGCTGTGAAATTCAGATACCTACAGGTCTGTATATATAGACATATATGTTTATTTTTAAGTAGAAATTCCACATTCTATAGCCACACAAAATTCACATGCTTAAATCACAGGACAAAGAACCCCATGTTAGGAAATTCAGGTGTCCTTTATGGCAGCAAGAGTGCCACAAGGGGTCCCAACAAAAGGAAATAAATGTATGATAACTATGCAAGCTGTTGTGCCAGGCAATGACAAACAACTGATTAAGAGCAAATTGGCCAACAAATTTGGGTTGCCGACAAAAACTTGGCTCTTCCCTGAGGGTGCTGTTGCCAGGACATATTATTGTATTTCTACAACATGGAAATTAACACATAACACGAGGGCTGATTTTTGTCTTCTCTCCTCCTCCCCCTCCTTTGGGAACAGTGTCACTATCACTCACTGTTGATTACATTTTTACCCTCTTCATCATGTGCTCAGTTCACATTCAATAGAGACTTTCAAGAAATTAGAAGCATTCCTGTTCTGTTCCTACAGTGGAACTTGTTATTTAAAAAGGGCAAAAAACGTGCACTTATACACACACCTGTGAGCATGGGAACACACACACCATAGACACATACACAATGGCAATGACCTTGCAGTAGAAATAATAGATTCCTGATACAGACTGATAATAAAAAATAAAACACAGTTGAGAAGTAAATTATGAGAGGTATCAGAAGACATGTTTTGGTGATGCCAACAGTGGTACAACCATTTATTTCAGTATGTGACAATGAGAAAGTTAAAAGAAATGCACCCATGTCATTCATCTTGGATGCTTGTTTGATTAATGCCAAGATTTTTTCTTTCTCTGGCATCCCATAATCTGCCCTTTCTGCCAATATTCCCAAGTTTCCCCAAGCAAAGAGCTGAAGCCTAAGGCAAGAGCTTCTGATTAATTTTTCTAAATGGAGTAGGTTTATAAAAGTCATGTTTGCTTTCTAGTAAATGGTTAACGAAACCATGTAGCTTTCAGATGGGACTAATTTTTCAATTAGTGGAGATGGCCCAGGTATTTTCAGAACTGGTCTGGGCAGCATCAGGGATGTCTCTGATCTCCGACAACCCCAGGGCTATGTGTGTGTGTGTCTGTGTGTGTGTGTGTATACACACAGACACACACACAGACACAAAGACACACAGACACACACACACACACACACACACACACCCCCCGAGGTTATATAGTAAATCCATTTCTTGTTATGACGATGTGTTTGGAACTAAATCAAGACCCGCATCACCAGAGTGACAAGGGTATAGTTTTGAACAGTAATGATGACAGCTATTTTCTCAGTCCAGACATCACCTGGAGAGCTGTGCCAGGGAGAAAAAATACAGGTACTTTTCACATTAAGTTAGTCATAGGATATTTCAGACCATCAATTAGAAGCAAAAACATTACAATTAATGTGACATGTAAGTAAGTGGCCATGATTTTAAAAAGCAAATATAGAACTGGTAGTTTCACTGTTATATGAAATATGAGGAGGACATTCTTATTGCCACTGGTAAACAACCATTCAGATAATATGGAAAACATACTATATTTCTTTACTCAGAATAGGCTTAGAACATGCCACAATTTTAGTATGCGATATTTAAATCTTCAGTGTCTTAATATCTCTATCAATAATGTGGGTCCAGCACTATTTGCTTTATTGTTACCTAAAATGTTGATAAATAAATGAAAAAAATCATATGATTAGAGCTTTTTGGAAGTTCATATGATGCTTTCAAACAAAATAAACTGATAATAGAATAAACATACAGTAACTGTTTTCAAATCTCCAAACCAAGAAGGTGACATTTAAAATATTTTATCACTGCTCTTGTAAGTCTTGATAAAAACTCCAGAATATACATTTCATACACATGGTATATTTACAAAATAATGATAATAAAGCACATAAGCAACTAAAATAAGTATTCCCATCCAATTTTCTTGCTTAAACCCTTTCCAGAAAGTTTCTTCCCTGTGTCATAGCAGGAAAAAGCAAAGAATTTAAAATAAAAGGTACAAAAGTATAAATAGATAATTAATATTCAATCTCTCCAGGTTACTAAATCAATTTCTTTAGGCTCTGATAGGCTGTTGGAAAAATAAGAACAAACAAGAACCATATGCAAACCAGGTGCCATCTGAATTACTTACATGGTTGATAGTAAAGGAGAAGAAACTAAAGGATATAAAGAGTAGTTTACTTTCTTCTGATCAAAAACATTCCCCTACAGGGGTGCTTTATAGCTTCATTACATGCCCTGACTTTGATATATTTTAAATCATCATCAAGGACAGGAACAAGAAAAAGGAAGAATCTATCATTTTGGATCAAATAAATTCAATTCTTTTAGGGGCAGGGGATGGGGAAGAGTTAGGATGCTTTAAGTTATTGTATTCATTTAGTTAATATTTATTTAACACCTACTATGTTTCAACCTCTGCAAGGTACTAAGTATATAAAAAATGTATCTTTTTGTCTGTCCTAAATGAGCTCACAGCCTAGTGAAAGATAAAAAATATAAAAGAAAAACTAAGGATACATGCTCTAAGCACTGTTTTAAAGATACAAAGATACTGCATCTCATTCACAGGACAGCTGTCTCCCTAGAAGGGAAATTTAAGCTTCATTTTGGCAGCTTTTACATAATTTGATGTAGTGAAGTTGCAAATGGTATAGAGGGGAGTAAAAAGGATGAAAGAGACAGAGAGACAGACTTATGAGGTAAGATTAAAGAAGCTACATAAGTATGACTTACCTATGTGAGGATATCCTGATAAATGTACACATATTTTGAAGATGCAAATACCAAAGGAATAATGTTGGAGAAATAAGCAGATTTTTAAAAGGTAAAATTTTTGCTATAAAGAAGAAAAAGCTGAGATGACAGTTATGAACTATATATGAACTATCACATGAAGAAGTTGATTTTCTGGAAATCATAGAATTCCATCTTTTGAGACATTTGATTTAGACCTTTTTCTCTCTTGGCTTGCTTGACTTTAGGAAATATATACAAAGTTGATTTTCAATTAAGATTCTTCATCATTGCGTGGGTATCTTCTTTATGCTAAGTACTATGACAAGTGTTAAAGAGGAATAAGATAGGGGTCTCTGTACTTACGCAATGTACAATCTGAAGAATTTCCACCTCCTTCTCATCACTCTGCACAGTACATATGATCCACCTCTTACTGATGCTTCTCTCAGGCTTGAAGAGTCCAGCCATCTCATATTACTAGGTTTTGCTAGGACCTAATCTAGCATGCTTTCCATCAAAGTATTCCTCTTTCCTCTCCCCTACACATTCACCACACACACACACACACACACACACACACACACACACACACACACGCACCCTTAATAAAAGAAAGTAACTTAGGCACTTAGTGTAGTAGTATCTAAAAGTAAGGGTATTTAACACAACGTCCTTGATTATTTTCATAAAAATTAAAGCTGGCAAATCTGATAAAAACCATCTGATTAATCTATACTCTGTTTTGAGTGATTGGTAACTTCAAATGTTAGTTTTTTGGTGGCATGTAAAAAAAATTGTAAAAAGAAAATATTGTTTATAAAAGGGAAAAAATCTTGTAATTACAGTGTGGTAAAGGTATTTTTAGATATCAGTGTTTTTCTAATATACATTGTCAATCAATCAGTAATTATTAAAGATATGTGTGTTTGCTTGCATATATGTGAATGGGTCTCTGAATTTGAAAGGTCTTTCAGTGTCTATGGACCACGAAAAAACTGGAAGAGCTAGGTACTCTTATTGCTATTTGACTAACAAGGAAACTGAAGCTCAGAGAATACTAGCAACTTGTTTTAAAGGTCACTCTGCATTTATGTGGTAGAGTCAGGATTTAAATCCAGGTCTGTTTGATTAACATTGAATTTTTCCTTTTTTTTTTTTTTTTTTGAGACAGGGTCTCACTATGTAGCCCAGGCTGGAGTGCAGTGTCATGATTACAGCTCTTGGCAACCTAGATCTCCCAGGCTTGAGCAATCCTCCCATTTCAGCTACCCAAATAGCTGGGACTACAGGCATGTGCCACCACATTCGACTGAATTTTAAACTTTTTGTAGAGATAGGGTCTCACAATGTTGCCTAGGCTGATCTTGAGCTCCTGGCCTCAAGCAAGCCTCCCACCTTGGCCTCCTAAAGTGCTGGGATTACAGTCATGAGCCACTGTTCTCGGCCCAAAGTTACTTTTTAAAAATTACAAAATACACCAAACATATAGAAAACACAGGAAATATAACACACTTGTGTACCTTTTATAAACCATGTTGCTCAGGAGCTGTCCCTGTGGTGAGATTGTAGCTAATATCGAGAATCTATAGTGTCTTGGTACGATTCTTATTTCAAATATTCTGTTTACTTGGCAGAGCACATGTCTCAAAGGTAGGTGTAAGAAAGATGGTGTCACCACACTCTGGTCCAGTAGAGATATATGGCATCAAGTGAAACTTTTAAGCATTCAAAACACATTTTCTCTGGAAGCAACATAGCAGCTGTGGAAAGCTTCTCAGAGACAGCTTGCCTTGCCCTGGAGGTGCCTGTGAGGGTAGTCCAGATTGGGAAAGAGAAGCTAATATAGACCCTGTACCCTTAGGAGCCAGGCTGTATGTTAGGCCATACACTTGTCATTTAATCCCCTAACCAGTATTATTGTTGGCATTATTAGTCTCAATTTACAATTGAAAAGCAGAAGGTCAGAGAGGTTACAAGATGTGTACAGGGTGAAACAGGTAATAGCAAGCAAAGCTAAAATTCCAAGCCGGTTGTATTTAATTGTAAAATTCATAGTATTTGTTATTACATGTAGTCAGGATTAGAATAATGAGAGGATTGTACTTAACAGACTTTCAGGCAAATTACACTGGGTTAAAAAGATTACAAACTAACGAATATTAATTGTTTATCCACTTAAAACTGGGACCATTTTTGTGCACCTTGAAGAAGTATGTTAGAATTCATCCATTGATTCACTTGTCCATACTCTATAGGACTCCCCATTAGCCCCACTTGGAAAATTGGTAAATGTATTAAAAGGATGGCATATTTGGATCAAGTGATTGGTTATGCTCATCTATCCCACCTGTACCTTAGGCTCTGATTAGGACTTAGAATACTGTACCAATGTTTGAGAGTTAAGTATCTGCCAGGATACCTAACCCTCTTTCATAGGACACAGCCAATTTATGATGTTAAAAATAAAAGCAATAATGATTGCTTTTACAATGATGATTGTATTAATTCTATGTTTATGGGTCAAAAATTTTACTCGCTGCTTTAGATTATTTTAGTTCCCAAAACAATTCTATGAGAAAGGTATATTTTTGTAAAAAAAAAAAAAAAAAAAACTGAGTCTCTCAAAAATTAAATGGCTTGGCTTTTCATAGAGTTATTATGGAAGTGAAAGAGCCAAGATTCCACCACACGGCTGTCTGCCAGCAGAGACCTTTACTATTCACTATGGTGAAGTTTTCTTCTGTAGCCTGGCTGCCTTATGATCACAGGCGACTTCATTATAACTAAAGGCAACGCAGCTTTCTGTCGGGCAACCTGAAGAACAGCAGGGCGAATGCCTCTTTCAGGTTTCCGGGTCACTGTGTGCAGGGTCACACTGTGTGTAGGGTCACAGAGTGACCCTGAAACTACACACATGGCCATGGTTACCCTCTTGGCCTCTCTTTGGGTGAGATCCCTGTTCCTTCCTTTGCACTTGTTCATTTTCTAGAAGATATTCAGGGGCAACCTCTTGGAACTGCAGAATATACACCACTTTTCCAATTAACACAACTGCTAGATCATTACATTTTTTCTCTAAAGTCAGCAAAATGTCTCTGATACCAATTAAAGTATGGCTTACACTCGTCCATAACTGCAAAGAAAAATAATCGTGACCAAGGAATAAACTATTCAACTCTTGAAAAAGTACTTTTTCTAACTGAAGGGAGGATGACTTGGAATAAATGATAAAGAAAAATAGAAAGTGTGTTAAGTTGCTTACTTTCTGACAGGCAAAATGCCAAGAATTTTGCTCGCATTATTTTATTTAATCCTCATGAAATTGTCTTTTTTAATCCTTAAAACAACATTATGAGAATTTACTATTGGGTTCCCTATTTTACAACTGATGAAACAGAGACATAGACATGTTAATTCCCAAGGTTAAAAAGTGGCAACAGGTCTATCTAATTTCAGGGTCTACATTTTAACCACTGGGCTTTAATGGGAGTAAGAATAGGATGCTAAAGGTGAGGGGGTCTATACCAAGAAAAAGAAGCACTCCATAACTATAGCAAGAAAGATAAAAAGCAATTCAAGATTGCTCTAATTTTCTTATGGTCTGTATAATATACCTGTCAATGAAAGCTGATTTTGGTAGATATGACTGACCCGTTTATAATCCAAAAAATTGCGAAAAAAAATGAACTGAATATTTGTATAGATAATGACTGCCACACCAAGTCATATGGCTACTTTTGTGTGTTTTTTAGCCATTAATATTAATGTTTTTTTATTTCCATCATCCTAATGAGAGAAATATGTGCATTTGTACCGTGTAAGAAAATAGTCTCAATAATCTGCTCAGAAGATGCATGTATATTTTTGCCCAATAGTGTTTTAAAGTTTGAAAACTGAAATCCTTTCACAAGGGGCCTATGTAGGCCCCAGGCCTCATCCCATCCACTGTGTTGCATAGCCCTGCTTTATTTATTCTGCACCGGCTTGGACCCAGTAGACAGTCGGGCTGGAGATGCCAGATCCAGTCTAGGGTGAGCTCTTACTGATTATAACAATACTGTTATTGATGAAGCAGAATTCTTGTTCAGATCACAGGGTAGATAACTTCATGGCCTTCAGCAGCTCATCACATTTCTTCTGAAATCATTTTGGCACCTAGTTTTCCTTATCAACGAAATGAGTAGAAGTATGTTTCTCTTAATCCCTTTCAAAAGATTCCAAAGAATGTTTTTTTCTTAGTGAGAAAGTTTTTTTTTTTTTCTTTTTTTTTTTTCGAGACGTTGTTTCGCTCTGTCACCCAGGCTGGAGTGCAGTGGCGCTATCTCCGCTCCCGGGTTTACGCCATTCGGATCTCAGCTCACTGCAAGCTCCACCTTCTGGGTTCACGCCATTCTCCTGCCTCAGCCTCCCGAGTAGCTGGGACTACAGGCGCCCGCCATCACGCCCAGCTAATTTTTTGTATTTTTAGTAGAGACGGTGTTTCACCGTGTTAGCCAGGATGGTCTCCATCTCCTGACCTCGTGATCCACCCGCTTCGGCCTCCCAAAATGATGGGATTATAGGCATGAGCCACCGCGCCTGGCCGAGAAAGTTATTTTTATGGAACAACACCCGTTAATCAATGCTAAATGATTAATAGAATTAGAATATCATCACATTATCAACCTCAAAATAAATAAAGGATCCAGACAATAATCCTTTATTAGACAATAATCACCTAAAATCCATTAGGTGAATTGCTGATGGGACCTTTTTAAAGAGGGACCTGCCTGAGAGCCATCTAAATCAATTGATAAATCTTAGCATCATCAAAGGAGAGACATAATGTGAGGATCCTGTAGGATCCCATCATGAATCCTATAGGAGGCAGAGATCACCAATTGTCAGCCACCTGTGTCAAAAGACCAGAGATCTTTATCTAGATGGTTTCCGCATTGGAAGGTTTATGCACTTGCTTTTAGATGAGAAACACTTGGTTGGTACCCTATTTTTTTTTTTTTTTTTTTTTTTTGAGATGGAGTCTTGCTCTGTCGCCCAGGCTGGAGTGCAGTGGCGCCATCTCGGCTCATTGCAAGCTCTGCCTCCCAGGTTCATGCCATTCTCCTGCCTCAGCCTCCCGAGCAGCTGGGACTACAGGTGCCCACCACCACGCCCAGCTAATTTTTTGTATTTTTAGTGGAGACGGGGTTTCACCGTGTTAGCCAGGATGGTCTTGATCTCCTGACCTTGTGATCCGCCCACCTCCGCCTCCCAAAGTGCTGGGATTACAGGCTTGAGCCACCGCGCCCAGCCTTGGTTGGTACCCTATTGGATAAAGTAGGTAAGAGACAAAACCAATGGAGATCAACTTGGAAAATAGAACATAACTTTAGGAATAAAAAAGAGAAAAATTGTACTTCAGATAAATCCATGTGAAAACAAGATTCTATTCTGAAACCTCATTTACATAAAACTTTTCAATGAAATACAGCAGGTCCTCAAATAACATTGTTTTTCTCAACATCCTTTCTTTATAAAGTTGATAAGAAAAAGAATTGATTGCAGGCCAGGGCCACTGTCTGTGTGAAGTTTGCACGTTCTCCTGCTGTCTGCATGGGTTTTCTCCCAGAACTTCTGTTTCCTCCCACATCCCAAAGAGATGCGTGTTAGGTAAATTTGTGGGTCTAAATTGCCCCAGATTCTGTAAGTGTGGGTGTATGTGGGTGCACCTTGTGATGCAATGGAGTCCTGCCCAGGGTCAGTACCAGCCTTGTGTTGTGAACTGCCAGGACAGGCTCCAGCCACCCAAGACACTGAACTGGAATTAACAAGTTGGAAAATAAGTGTACAAATACAAATATTTGTAAAAATAAAAATTGGCAAATTAGATGATAATCATACAGGTACATGACAGTAATGGATACGTGTGGCATGATAGCGCTCAAGGAGCCTGCCATATTTGTGACAGCTTGTTTTTGAACTGCTTGGTAGTAGGAGGTGCTCCTTACAATTTTCACTTTGTAAACATTTATTTCTTGATTTAACCCACCAGCACTATGACCCCCGTCACTCACTGATTCATCAAAAAACTGGGCAAATAATTACCTTACTTGTTTTTATGAATCTTTCCTAAATGTATGTAACAATCACATTTATTTTAATGCTTAATAAAAATATGTTTGGGGTCTTTAGAGATTAGGTGATGTTTTTATGAGCAGAAATATGCCATAGAAACTTAACTTTTATCAATTAACTTATGGTACAATTAATCTCATTAAACATCGTTTTACTTGAAGTTTCCATGAACCTATTGACAATGTTAAGTGAAGATATACTCTACTATATATTAGTACACTATTTTATTAGAATTATTTGCTGCCCTGAAATGGAGGGTGATTAAGACCAGTTAAATAAAAGTATCACATCTTTCGTCTGTTCATTAATCTGTTAATTGCACTTTGCAACTTGCCTACAAATCAACAAAAGGCATGTGACCCACTTACCTGTATCATTAAACAACCCAAGCTACAAAATTCTCCTGAGCCAGGACTTGAGACAGGGTAATATGGGGCTATTTAGTTTTTAGAACTCAGTCTGTGTACTAGGAGCCCTTAACTTCCATGATGATACAAAATACAGCAGAAACTCAGACAGAGAGAGACTGGAAATGAGAATGTGGTTCAGGCCACTAATTCTCAAAAAGGAATGAACTCTCAAAGAGACATGAGATTCTGCTCAGATCTGCACAATCTGCCCCTAACAGCCTTTTCCTCCCTTCATTCCAGCCCCTCTCTCATTTGTTAATTTTGTCCTTCAAATGTTGCTGTTGCTCTATTTCTATCCTAATTTTCTTTTCTTTTTCAAATTTATTGTTCTGATTGGCATGTTTATTTTTCTTACTTTTTTTTCTTTTCTTCTTTTTTTTCTTTTTTACTTCCATTGCTGTTGAGCTTTAACAAATTGATTAGAGCAGGAAAGTTACAGAATGTAGAGAATGAGGATGGTTTGATTTACTAGAGAACCCCGAATTATGAAGTACAACTGTTCATACAAGGAATGGAAAAAGTCTCAACATTCTCAAAAGATTTTTTCTTCCACAAAGAATGGATTCTGCAAAGATTCCATTTTAGGCTTAGATTCAATTATCCTTCCACTCACTGAAACCACCATGTGGTTTTACTTTTTTGTAAAGTAGGGTTAATGGTAATACCAATTATGGGAGTTGGTCTAAGGATTAGTTAATTAATGAAAAGTGGTTGGAATGAAAAGTGGTTGGAATGACACATGATAAACACTTGTTCAAAGTTAGCTATTGTTGTTGTGATTAAAATTATCATTATTGCAAAAGACAATACCAAGAAAACAATATGACCATACATAACTCTCTGACATTAACCTCAGAAGAATCTGAGTTTAGAAATGTTTGGCAATTTAATCAATAAGCCAGATAACTTGTCCATCCATGTTTCAGCCATTGAGTCCTTCTTGGAAAGCTTGGTGTATTGTCTAGCTGGAAATGTGACCCTTTGGTTTTCTGTAACTAACACTGGTCCAGAAATAAACACATCTATGGCATAAAAGTAAGGCACAATTGCCCCTGAAATTTGTGAAAAAGTCAAAAAGCAAAAATTGCGTGATGCTGGAGTTTAAATCAAGGTGTTGTCACTTAACAGATGTGTAACTCAAACAATGTTTTTTGACAACTCTGGGCTTGTTTCCTATAGCAAGATTTGTGAGAAACTTACAAATATCACAACGGAGCTATGGTAATCACTAAATGAGATATCTAACTTGGAGCCTCCTAGCAATGCTTACAACATGCTTAGGGCTTACTTTCAAAGAAACCTGCTTTAGTGCTTTGTAGTCAGACACATCTGGGTTTCTGTTCTAACTTTCACTTCCACCCTGTGTGATTTAGGCAAGTGCTCATTTTCTCTGACTTGCTACATTCTCACCTGTAAAAGCAGCCTGAGGTTGTTGTGAAAACGGAAAGGATGGTATAAATAATGCCTAGCACATTGCTTGGAACATAGGACACACTCAATGCCTGACAGCTCTTGATAAGTGTGTTACTTCCTATGTTCCCGAATTTGAATTGACTGTATTGCATTTGAGAAAAAAGAAGAGGCAAGATTCCTCCCCACAACCTACAAACAAGCTCCTCTCTTATCTAATTTGGAAATCAAGAATGTTTTCTTTAAAATTAAACCATTTCTTTACTATGCCACACGTGAAAGAGAGCTCTCTTTTATAGGTGGAGAAAAAAGTCTGGTGTCACAAGACAGAAAATACCTCTGGGATTTTTTATTCACGAATAGCATCAACAACTTGTGATTCTCTCTTGCAGTCTCTTCCTCCCACCCTTGCCATTGCAAAGGTGGGGCTAAAAGGTAAAAATGGCTCTTTTTTTTTTCTAGTCTTCCATTAAAGTCTGTAATGTTTTCTTCAAGTTGCTCCAGGAGTCCTGGTTTTTGGAGAGGTTCAGAACAGAACATTTTACTGGCAGAGAATGGCCTCTGGAAAAACCAGGCTTCAACACTTAAAAAGATAAAACCTGGGAGAGAAGTGGGGAGTAAAGGTTCAATTCTTCCTCAACTCGAGAAAGATAATAGGAAAGTAGAATTAGCCAAAATAAAAGATTGTGCTATACGTCATTAGTCTCCTAACTTTGGTTTGAATAATGGTACTCTAAAAAAAGAAAAAGAAAAAGAAAAAGAAGAAATCTTCCCCAGCAATTTGATTATTAGGTCACTTCAAGAGAGGCAATTTAAGGAACCAGCAAATGCTGCTTGGGGAACTAAAATAATAACAGGCAACACTAATATAGCACCTTTCCTCTTCAAAGCACTTTACAAACATGAAGTAATTAGGCCAATTAAAACTTGAAAAAGTAGCCTATTTAGACACAATCTTCTTTCCACATACAGTGCATCTGCTGGAAATTACTCTCTAGCCTTGTTTTCAATGCAAAAGATGCTCATAAGTAAACAACTATAAGTAACTAGCAGGACTTGAATCAGAATGAGTTGGGTTTAGAAGTATTTAAGGCATTTAAACCAAAAGTAAATTTCCCACACTCTAATTCTCCTCCAGCCACAAACCCTATGTAGGCAAGTACTTCCTGTAAGTGCCAGGTAGTTATGGACGGGTGTTATCAGCAGAAAACACAGATAGATAGTCCAGGGAGTGAATGGACAGAAGGTTTGAGGTTTGCCTCTTCATAGTAAACTAATTTCCAAAGAGGAGTCCCCGAATGACTGAGCAAAGCGGTGTAGTGTTTTGAATTAGAAAGCATTCTGAATTAGGAGTAAAAATTTAAGTCCTTGTTCAAGTTTAACCGCTAATTCACTATGTGACTTGGGAAAATGATTTAATCTAATTTATGGTTTCAGTCTCTTTATGTGAAATGAACTGCTTGGATTAGATCCATGGTTTTCAAAGTATGTTCTGAGAGTACTGTGTGTCCCCAACATGGATGGGTAAAAGCCTCGAGTCTGTACTCAGTTTAAGAGAGCAGCAACGTTTTAATTCATTTTAGATGTTGGATTTTTATGAGATGTTGTAAAGAGTTCCATGTCTAATAGATGGATGATATCTAAATTCGTTTGCAACACTGATATTCTGTGATTTTATGAATGCTTCTAAACCTCATAATGTATAGGATATGTTTCAATGAAAACTTTCATTTCATTAAGCTAACTCTTGGATCAGAGGAGGAATGAGAATATAGACTGCTTTTGAGCTCTTTCTGTGCACTGTAAATCAGAGGTAAGGAGGATTATTTCTGACTTGTCCAAGTCCAGGTGTGGTAGATGTTAGCAGAGAACTCTGCCAGGTTTCTCCTCTCTCTCTCTCTTTGAGCTTCTTTGCTTGATACTGGGTGGCTGATTCTGATCATCTGGGGCTCCAGGTCTAGGTTTGGGGAAGGAGATAGGAAGCTGCATCATATCCCTCGGTATTACCATTTTTCAGAGAGTCATATAAAGCTGTTAATTTGTTTCATTTCTCCGATTTGTGAGTATGTGTACTCTATAATACAGAATCTCAGAGGAGAAGAGGAAAAAATGGAACAACCGGGGCAAATAATTCCATCCACCCCTACTCACACTTCCCACCGTTTTACATGGGAGCTAGGCTATTTTTAAGAACCTTCTCTGACAGTGAACTCCAACAAACTGTTATGTTGAGTGGTTCATCTATCACTATAAACCATATTATCAATCTTAATAGTACAATGAAGAAATTGAGGTCAAAAGGGTAAATGCACAAAGTCCTAAAACTTGGTTGGCAAAACCAAGAAAGGAACATCAGGCCTTCTGACTTCAGCTTTTGTGATTTTCCCATCACTGAACCGCTTCTGTATTGATGTAGCATTAATATAGAACTCATGATCTAAACAAAGCAAAGCAAATCTTTCTTCCTGTACTTCATGTTACGGACACTTTACTATGTTTTCTTTTCTGAATCTCATGGCTGGGGGACAGTGCGTGCAAGGGAAGGAGTATGGGTTTCAAGTCAGGGCAGCTGGCTCTGAAATTAATGTACCAAGGGACTTTACTAAAGTGAATACATAACCATGATGTGTCTAACTGCTTTTCTTATTTTAGAAAGTGTAAATATTATAATATCTACCTAACTACTTCATAGCGCTGCTATGAGACTTTTTACATACTATGTGTGAAAACGCATCAAAAGTACTCGAAAATTCTCTACATACCCCTGGTGTCATTTGAGGTGTTTTCATTTCTGATGTTTTCCATCTCTTGTGGCGTGGCAACTGAGTAATGAGCCAAACTAAAGAGTTTCCCAGTAGCACACATTTCCCCAATGAAAATAAAGGATTCCTAATTCCAGATGGAAAGCATTTTGGCATTTCCTTAAAGAATACCAGTAGTGAATTAAAATAGAAATAGATGCTCCTTACTGAGAAGTCTAGCAACTCATTTATAGGCCTATCCACACTCTAATTAAAATAGCACAATTATCTAGGAAATTGTGAGGAAATGCCATCAATACTATTGACTGTTACTGCGATGCTAGCAATCACAGGATATATACTCAGTGACAACACTTAATGCCCGGAAATAGGATATAAATGAAAAACAGTGAATTATGACTGCAGGATACTAGGAGAAGTTGTAGCAATGGCTAAAGTGACCTAAGAATCAGCCATAGGGCCCTGAGAGTGAACCAACAACATGATTTAAACTAGTTGACCTAAATAAAAGTTGACTGTGGTAAACAAAAATATCACTTTTCTTTTATAATCCTAGATCTAAAAGCAGAGAGGTGCTTGAATGCTTTGCGTGACAATGTATCCCATGCCTCAGATTACATGTAGTGACCCTTGAAAAAGCAAGTTTCTTACTAAAAACCACTACGGAAGAGTTTGGCATAGGTCTAAACTTACTTTCTCAGTTGTGACTAGCAATCATGCAAATCTGCAGATCAGCAAATTAGCACAGGCCCTCAGGACCAGGATCTAAAGTTAATCAGCCCAGCCCTTAAAGGTTTCCAGCTTTTTCAAATGGAATATATTGTTTGAGTTTTACCAACATCCAGCTCCCTTAATCTCCAATTATCTAGCTCTTCTATCAAATAACAACTATACTAGGCAAGTCAGTACTAGATACAGATTTTTATTTGCCTAAAAAAGTGTCCCTGATGCTCATTTTTCTGTACACTATACATATTATGCTTTAATCCCTATTTTTTTCTATTCATTGCTGTTGCTATCCTAGCTAATATTTCTTTTCTCAACAAACACCATATATATGGTGTATGTGTGTGTGTGTGTGCATATATATATACGTATATATACAAATATATACAAATATATACGTGTATATATATACATATACACACACACATAGACCCCCCCACACACACATATGCTGGATCATAGCTCTTAAACTCTATTAGAAAATTACTTGGCTAGCTCAAATATTCCTTTCTACTTAATCCCAGCTTCATGTCTGCCATAACCTGTGCTGAAAAATGTAATACTGCCACTTTAAGCAATAGACTTTTACAAGAATTATCAGATTTACATAGACATATCTGAAATCCGATATGTTTAACCCTGAGACACAAATATAAACTTTTTCAAAACTATGAGAAAATATTCCACTGTTTCCAGTCAGTCCTTCTTGTGAAATTAGCCATTCACAAGAAATATTACCCCTACACTTAAAACAAGGTGATGGGGAATAGGTGCACTATAGAAGCAAGTATTGCCTCTGGTATGGTTGCAGGGAAGTAAAATTTTGTGCAGGTATAAATGCATTTCCTCGAGGAATTAACGGAGTCTCTCACAACCTTCTTCCTGTTTAGAAGGGTCACTATGTTCTGTACTTAAGCCTGTAATATTAAACAGAAAGCAAAACCTGTAAAAGCGCCCATGACACAAAAATGGAAAGGCAGATAACATGTTACAAGATAGAGTAAATATTCAGAGATATCGCCAGCTAGGGGGGTTGGTGAAACATCAACAACGTGAACTATCACAAACATATGATAATAACATGTGAAAAACATGAGCTCTGACACAAAATAAATGTATTTAAATCCCTGCTTCATGCTTAGCGGGGGTCCAGCTAAATTACTTTCTAAAGCTCAGTTTGCTCATATGTTAAATTGGGACAATGAATTGTATTGATTGGGTCGTTGGAAAAACTAAGTCCTATAGCATAAATTAAGGTCATAATACAGAGTCTAGAATGCAATGGTTGAAATAATTAAGGTGGAAAGTAGTGTATGAATTTTAAATATTACCTTCACAAGTGAAAGTAGAGGAAAGCTGGTATGTGTTCATTCATTTCAAAAATGTTTAGTAAAAATATGTTTAGATATCTAATATGCCCAGTGTTGTATCATACTTGGTTCAGAAGATACAAAGTTGAACCAGGCTTGGTCTTAAGCTGAAACTGAGAAGTTGCAATTAAGAAAGAGGCAAAGTACAGATGGAACAAAAATTTACAGTGTAACATTACTAAATACAAACTTCCTGTCCCTGAACTCCACCCTTCCACTTGACTATATTTGTAACTAAGAGGTTGCGCCTCAAAATGTTACCTTCTAAGGGACACTGACCCATACAGCTCCTGATGAACAAGCAGGTCTAAATAACCCTGACCCATGATATAGTCAATTTGTACAGTCATAGGTATCAAATCCACAATGACTCTTATAATATAGGCTAACTGTCCTTCCTCAAGAGAGTGAATTTGGCCAGCAGATTTTGTCTCTCAGGAATTTGGACTAAGAAACATCGAGAGATTGATGCAATTAGCAATGGAAGCTGGAAGTAGAAGGACACTCCAGGTAGGGTTGAGACTGTGAGGGGCCATGTCTATACTGAGATTATAAGACACCAGACAAATGGCCAAGTAGAAATATATGGGGAAAATCAGAAAGGTCACAATGGTGAGAGAAACCCAGAGACCGTAACTAATGCCAAGAGTTTCAAGTTTTTAATGACAATAATAAAAGCTACCACTTACTGAGCCCTTACTCTGCCCTAATTATTCTTCTAGTACTTTATACTGTATTTATTAACTCCTGTAATCATCACAAAACTCTCCATAAACCACTGTTATTTTACTGATGTACCACATGCAAAAATGGAAACACAGAGGTAAAGTCACATATGAAGGTTTCAGAGCTGCTGCTTATTGCAACCAGGATTCAAACTCAAGCCATCTGATACTCAAGCTTCAGAGCCTCCATCCCTGCCATACTATGAAACTCCCCTGCCTTAAGATGCCCTAAATGAGTCTCTCCATCATTCAAAGAGAAAAATCTAAACTAAAGCAGCACCTTTGTACCTTATAAGGCCTCAGCTTCCAATAAAAGATGTGGGAGGTCAGTAATACCGCAGGCCTTCGATGCGGTGGGAGAAGTGCTTTTTCTTCTCGGGGAACATCCTGCTTTGTGTACAGAGCAGTACTGAATTTCTGAAGAGCAGCCTTTGATAGTTTTTGAGGTGGCATTTTTGGATAATAGAACCTTGAAATCATAATGAAGCACTTTTTCTCACAACCTTCCAAGTGCACCACAGGAACCCTCTTATGAATGTCTACATCATTTCTCCAAAGAGATCCAGGGGCAACACAGCCTTCCCCTCCTCACCATGCCACAAATAGAGGAAAAGCAGTTCACAGGAAGACTTCTGAAAAAATAATAGATGTTGAACTCGGTATCCACTATATTGTAAGTTGTGTGATTCCATAATCATTTTTTCCACCTCAAATGTAAGGCTTTTAAAGAAGAAGGTCTATGCCATTTTTACTTTTCTACACGCAGTGCCCCATAAAAGGCTGCACATGGAAAATGATTTTTAAAATGGCTTTTAATGAATGAAAGAAAAATAGAAAGAACAAAGCATACATTGCTAGTGCATATTTTCCTTCCCCAAACAAAAATATAAACACTTTTTAATTTCGTTGGTGCTTTTTGTCCTACGAAAAATTCACAAATATATTTTGCTATTCTTACCATTATTCAGTGAGAGAAGATACATTAAAATCCAGGATCCAGAGCCAGATTTCTTGGCTTTCAATCATGGCCCCACTAATTACAAGCTGGTTACTTAACATTTATCTTCTTAGTTTCCCAGATTAAGAGATTCTCTAAAGAGTTAATAATTACACCTGCTGTCTGAAGTCACATTGAGGATTAACTAAAACAGTAACATGACCAAAACAGTGCCTGGTACATAATAGGCTCTCAATAAATATTCACCTTTTTGTTACAACTATTCAATAGATGAGGAAAAAGGTATTTCCTTGCTCATAGTCACACTATAAAGTATATGAATGTTTGGGATATATAAGAAGATAATATAATGTAATAGTTATGAATGATATTCTGGAATTAATATTTTAGAGTTCAAATCCTAATATGACTTCAGGTAAGTTTCTTTACCTCTCTGTGCCTCAGTTCCCTCATCTGTAAAATGGAGATACTAATAGTCTTCATTCTACAGGATTAGAATTTTGAAAGGAATTTCTATATGTAAAGCTCTTAGGTTAATGATTCACAGTAAGCATAATAAAAACAGTTGTTTGCTATTATTATTACTTAATGTAATGACATCCAGATAGAAAATCCCAACCATAGGCTTTATGTCTTCTATATTTGGAGATATTTCTACAGCTGTACTACTTACCCCTCTGATATGGACTACTACACTTCCATCTGCCATAGCAACTGTTGGTAATTTTGCTACCAATTCAGAGTTCAGATTCAGTGGGAGTGTGTCAGGAAAACACTAATTCAACAGGAATATGGGAGAAGCATGGTTACTTGTTTGGATTTATTTTTCTCAAACCTTCTGATAACATTTTTTCCTTAAAACTGCCCAGAGTAATTATGGTGCTATTGTTATAGCTCAGTAGCAAATGCTGGGTGACTTCTGCAAACAGTTTTATCAAACTGACATTCTAACAAATGTCTCTTGCTAAATGTCAAGTGAGATTTCTGGAGGGGAAAGAAAAATGCCTCTTTTCTTCTTCCACATCCCAAGTTTACGTAGATCAAAAAGACACTGCATGGCTGCCCATTGTTTCAGCAATTCAAACATCAGCAATAATCCACCAAGAATCTTTAATCAGCCAAGTCTTCATTCTTAAAACTGGGGAGAATTAATTATGAATGTGGAATCAGCATCATTGTCGATCCGGGAAGCTAAACTGACTTGGAGTCATGTTTCCTCCTGCAGTTTTAATTAAGCAGGAAGGAGTTCGAGGGTGTAGGACAGAGCAGATTGAGACCGATAAGTGGTCCATTATGCAGGAGACTTTTGTCCCTGATTGTATCTTTAGCTGTGTATTTTTCCTGAAATACATATTCCAATCATATGGCCACATAATGATACTTAAAGGAAGATAATAAAATAAACAGTAAGTAATTTGGTGGACCAGTAGAAGAAAACTGCATTCATGAGAAGGTAGAGTATTCTCTTTCCTAGATAGGAGTGATTAGAGTAATAACTAAAGGGTTGGAGGAAGAGGTCGTGATTAATTGCTGCCTATTGTCATTGTTCTGCCTTTTCCACAGTGATGGGACTCTAATTTTTTTTTCAGTATCTGATAACCATTGTCATCTCAGGGGGCTGAGCTCTTCCCGACCCCAGCCTGGGCTAATCATGATTGGCCTGAACCAACTATGACAATCCCTTCTCCTTGTCAGTACTTGGTTTAGAAAAGGTCTTGTGACAGTTGCTACCCATAAGACCTGTAGGGAGATCTGCCAGTGGCAGGTCTAACAAAGGCTTTCCCATTTTTCAAAAGAGATGGATTTGAGGAAATAATTGTGTGCTAAGATAATACTTGGAATTACTGCCACTATTTTGCAGTCATGAGAGCACCCACTGGATTAAAAGTCAAAATGCTGAAAATGGCAGAGCAAAAAGATGGAAGGACCTGAGTCTTTCATGATACCTTGGTTCCACTGAAACACCAAACCCTAGAACGACTCCACCCCAGGATGTTTTATTATATAATATAATAATTTCTCATTTTTAAAGCACTTTTAGTCAGTTTTCTGTTAGTTGCATCTAAAACATCTTAAGCAACATACAACTCATGTAAAAAGAATTTCACAACATTATTTTAATTTATACTTAAAACAGCTTTCTCAAGTAGATTTTTTTTCTTTTTCTTTATAAGTTAATAAAGAAATAAGAAATACAAAAAGCAGAAACTCAAATAAATGATTTGTCAGCAGAGACGCACTGAATTAGCAGCATTGGCAGAATAAATGCCAGTGGGTGAATGATTTTTAAAAAGCATTTTCTACACTATGCCATACTGCTAGTTTCATCATTGGAAATACATTCATTTCTATTTAATTTCACTTGGCAGTTCTTAGATGCTAAATTCTAGAGATGCAAATATTATACAAATAATGACAACATGTCGGTTAATAGGTACAACACAGTGTAATGATACCCAGTAATAGTGACAAACACTGGGGCTTCAGGTCACAATGACTAACATGAATTTTTAAGAATGAACATAAATATTATAAGGAGATTTAACAGGGTTGGTGGAGGGCCAGAAATCTGGGTGTGGATTATTTGGAGACCCATGGGTAATTGGCCAACACTGGCATATGAGAAATGGAGTGGGTAGGAGTAGTTGGGAGGTAATTCAGAGAGGTAGTTAGAATCCAGGTAATAGTAGCTCCTGTACATCACGCTAGAAAACTTGAACTTTATTCTGTGGATCACTGGTTTTTAAACTTTTCTTGATCCTTAACCTTTTCCTTCAAACAAAACCATATCTAAAAGTATTGAAGCAGATAAAAGAAGACTTTTCTGGTTGAACATATAAAGCACATTGTAAAAGCCACTCTTTGTGGATGATGGGGTGTCATTTAATGGTTTTTAACTATAGAAGTGACATAAAAATAATGATGTCTGAGAAAGATTATTCTGGAGACATCATAGACGACAGATGGTTTGAGAAAGAAATGGAAGCAGTAACTTCAATTAAGAAAAAGAGAACTGGATACTGAGTAGCAAAATACTTCTCAAACATCTCAGAACAGTCCATACAGGACATAGCAAATGCCCAGACTAAGACAGTGGCAGGGAGTCAGGACATGCTTTGCCATTCCTTCTCCTTTATGGAAATAATATTTTCAAAGAGGCTAGGAGGGACAGTAGGATGGCTAGGTCCATCTGTGGCCAATGTCAGCCACAGATAGGGTCTCTGATATGGTTTGGCTTTGTCCCGACCCAAATCTCATCTTGAATTCCTATGTGTTGTAGGAGGGACCTGGTGGGAGGTAACTGAATCATGGACGCATGATTGTGAGGCCTCCCCAGCCACCTGGAACTGTAAGTCCAAAAACCCTCTTTCTTTTGTAAATTTCCCAGTCTCTGGTATATCTTTATCAGCAGTGTCAAACCAGACTAATACAGTCTCACTGAATTAAGCCAATCAGCAATTCTTCATTTCTCAAATGAAGAAAACGTATTCATTTTATTGAGAGCTACTAGAAGAAACTATCCCATTCCGATAGGATGAAGCATATAAACATGTAGCCCTAGATGCTGAAGTGGGCCATCTTATAGCTAAGAGGGGAAACAAACAGAAAATGAAAGAGAATCATGGAAGGGAAAAGGATAGACATAAATAATCTGGGATTTTAACAATATCAACAAGTCACAGTATCATAACTCACAGGAAATTCTCACAACCTTCAGATTTTTCATTTATTTGAACCACTAGGTTTATATTACCATTTAAAGCACTTTGGGTTGAGAGTTCTCTGTTTTACAATTGGAAGTACCTCAAGTAATACAGGGCATTAAGGAATGAAAAATAGAAGGATTTAAAATAAGGTAAAAATCAGTTTAAAATAAGGTAAAAAATCAGCCAACTGAGTGGCTAAATTGGGGGTTGAGGGTGAGGGCAGAGCTCAGGATGACATGGTTTGTGGCTTGTTTGGACCAGTTACCAAGTACCAAGATGGAGTACATTGATAAAGCAAAAGCAAATCGAGATTTGACAGAAGATACCAATTTGTGTTTTAAATGTGTATAATTTATGTGCTTAGAGGTTAATCAGGTAGTAATATAATACGCATTTATTTTAATCAATCGAAAACCCTGAAGAAAGGTCAAAAAGCTATCTTGAGAGTCTTTTAGATTGGTAATATTTAGTGTCATGCTTCCCCAAGGAATATAGATACTTCTGAAGTATTTTTTTTTGAAAATTTATACAGATAGTAGCTGAATACAATAGGTATCTAAAACCAGTAAATGATGTTGAGAATGAATGAAATGATTAATGTAGCCAAATATAGTATTAAACATTAATTTTATACAGAAAGAAATAGGATTGGTACAGAGAAAAATTAAAATGTACAAGATTTTTTAAAGATTGAAGTCTAGATTTCAAAAAGGTTTCTCATTTTCACTGGCTGTTTCAGGTTATGTTTCACGACCATCAAAAGTTAACTATTAAATCCTCACTTTTCCCAGGGGTACTTTGAAAATATATTGTTCAGGAGTCATCATGATTAATTTCATTAAGGGGCTCGGTGCATCAAATTAATCTCCTGATATGACATAAGGCTGTCTGTAAATACCAGAAAGACTGATTTAGGCACCCGAACCTGAGAAAGCAGGAGTTCCCAGAGAGGTGTGAAGGGCAGGGGAAGGGCCAAAATCAAATTGGTCGGTTTCCCAGTTGCTACCTGGGCCTCTCTTTGGTACTTACTTGATTTTCTGGTAAGGGACTATTACAGACAAATACGGGGATGAATTACCGTTCTGGGCCTTGTTTTCCAAAGGGCCTCTGGCTGAGTAAAGAAGTGACTTGACATTTATACTATTGTAAACATTTGGTTGCCAATGAGTTCTAGTTGGCAAGACCTCCGTCTAATTTCGATAACAAAAGTCTTACAGGAAAGGCCCATAAGGCATTTTACACATCAAACAGCTCTTACTGAACAGTGTTTTGATGAAATAATTACAAATGAATCAGAAGAAATAAATTACCCTTGAAATAATAGCAATACTTAGCATTTTCATTTTCAAAGTGTTTAACAAATTACTAATTATTTAATTTACATTCTAGTATCATAACGAAGGGATTTCTACTCTGGTTTTATAAATGGGGGAGCTGAGCTATGGGAGGGGTGATGTGCTCAAGTGTACAAGGCCAATCTAGAAAGAATGGCAACTGGGTTTCAAGCAGCTGTTTCCATGAGTGGAATCGGGAGTGAGCACGTGGGTAAGGGATAGGTTGCCTTTTAGATAGAGCCCAATTTTTTTCCAGTCTCCAGCTTTTCAAGCCTTCAAATAATGCAGTCACATATTGTAGAAAGCTCAGTGAATCAAAAACACTCTTCTAAAACTGAATGTTCTTTTAAACCATACGTTGATAGATTTGTGACTTCACAGTTTGTGAAACTGGGGCCACCTTTTGGGAAATGTGTACAGAACAAGGGACAAGATCTGGATGGTCCCTTCAGGACAGTTATGGGAATCACGGAATGAAGCCAGCACTATGCAGAATCCAGGCAGAACACACTAGTGACATCTTCCCAGATCTCTGCCACTTAACTACATTGACTTCCTTTTCTCTTACTTGTTCCACAGCTTCTAACATAAACTATAGCTTTTGATGCCTCATGTTCCCTTGGGACTTCTCAGGCTGCTTCCATGATCTGGCATCCTGGACTCCGACTGAGAACAGTTATTACCTCCTTGCTGATTTCTGGAGCTGACCACACCTGGAATTCCTTCTGCCAGCTCAGTTCTGTGCTGAAACATCACCATGCAAATGGTCCCCAAAGTAGTCTTATATTTTAGGACCACAGCAGCAAACTGACAGCAATGTATAGCTTGTGCTCGTGTTTTGGTTGCTTGTACAGCCCACGCTGTGTTTGCAAAGGCATTGTGATTAGGCAAGAGTTATGTTCCTCTAAAAACAAGCAGACTCACTGCCTATTTTCCTAACATATTCCTGTTCCATGGTTTAGTATTAGCTAAATGTTTCAGTTTTCTATTAATATATAGCAAACCACACTGAAACTTAGTGGCTTAAAACAGCAGTAATTTTCCAAGGTTCTCTTGGTCAGGACTTTCTTGTCAGTTCTTTGCTCCTCATTATATTGACTGAAGTTACTCATATAACTAGAGTCAGCTAGACACTGCTGGGGTTGGAACACTCAGCATAGCTTGTTGACTTCCCAGGCCTCTCTTCACATGGTCTCTAATCATTGAATAGACTAGCACAAGCTTCCATAAGCATGGCTGCTGGTGACCACAAAAGAGAAGTGGAAATATTCAGTCTTCTTCAATACTGAGTTAAAAGTCCCAGAACATCAATTCTACTGCAGTTGTTTAGTCAAAGCAATTTACAGAACCAATTTGATAATTTCAGGGAGAAGGAAAATATATCTTATCTTTCTAGTTGAGAAATGGTATAGATGTACAGGGAGGGAAGGAATTTATGGTAGATGATGACTTAGGTGATGACCTATTGCACATATACATGCCTTTCTATAAGCATTTGAAATTGGGAGTCTTATTTTTAGTTTTGATGGGAAAAGTGTTCTTAGAGTTCTGGAAGTTTATTAATTTGTTCATTTAGTAGAGATTTTATTTTACTTCTTGTTTGCTGGTTTATTTTTTAAGTATCCACTCTTTGCCTGACACTCTTTTAGGACATGGAGATACAGTAGTGAAGAAGAGAGATGAGATTCCTTCTTCTTTGGAAATTAGATTCTGTCATCAAGAGATAGACAATAAAAAGTCAATAAATAAACAACAAAGAATCTGACCATAAAATGTGCTTTCCAGAGAATGTGTGTTATGTAATAGAGCATGACTAATTTTCTAATGTTGATTAGAAAGCTGAGTTAGGGTTCTACGAAGAAGAGATATTTAAGCCAAGAGCTGAGTGACAGGAAAAGCAATAGCTAGTGTGAAGATTTAAGGCAATGACAAGCTTGATATGTTTTAGAAACAGTAGGAAGCCAGGTGCTGTTTAAATACATGAGCTAAAAAGGAAAGTGTCCGGCCTCTGAGCCCAAGCTAAGCCATCATATCCCCTGTGACCTGCAAGTATACATCCAGATGGCCTGAAGTAACTGAAGAATCACAAAAGAAATGAAATTTAAATGGCCTGTTCCTGCCTTACTGATGAGATTCCACCACAAAAGAAGTGAAAATGGCTGGTCCCTGCCTTAACTGATGACATTACCTTGTGAAATTCCTTCTCCTGGCTCAGCCTGGCTCAAAAGCTCCCCCACTGAGCACCTTGTGACCCCCACCCCTGCCAGCCAGAGAACAACCCCCTTTGACTGTAATTTTCCTTTACCTACCCAAATCCTATAAAACAACCCCACCCCTATCTCCCTTCGCTGACTCTCTTTTTGGACTCAGCCCGCCTGCACCCAGGTGAAATAAACAGCCTTGCTGCTCACACAAAGCCTGTTTGGTGGTCTCTTCACATGGATACGAGTGAGAAAGTGGTGAGAAAGAGAGCAGAGGAGTAGCTGATTATAAAGTAATGTGATTATGAAGGGCTCCGGAGGCAGTTTTCAAGAATTTGGTTTCTATTCCCAGTCTCATGAAAGACATCAGAGAATTTTTAAGTATGTTTCTAATTTTCATTTCTGAGGTCAACTCTGAGAATTAGCTAATGGTGTGGATGTGGGAGGTGAGAAAAAAGTAATTAAGGTTAACTCTCAGAGTCTTATTTAAACAACCAAGTAGATAATGTACTATTTACTGCATTTAAGTATGTTCAAGAATGCACTGGCCCATATGGACAAAAAAACGTATTTTTTTTGTCATGTAAGTTTCAAATGTTTACTAATATCCTTGTGGAGTTTCAACTTTCTGCCTAACAATAATGAAATCCCCAGCAAGGTGAAGTTATTATTGTTGTTAGAACAAAAATTACCTTGGAGTTTCATGAAAAGTCACAGAAAGGTTTGAGTGGCTGCTTGTAGGTATTGTTG
Organism: Homo sapiens; assembly: GCF_000001405.40. Classification (NCBI taxonomy): domain Eukaryota; kingdom Metazoa; phylum Chordata; class Mammalia; order Primates; family Hominidae; genus Homo; species Homo sapiens. Next base: position 41,428,623 of record NC_000011.10, read on the forward strand.
GTATACGTTGTATAGGTTGTCATATGTTGTCACCTTTGCTGGTTAGATTCTTTCCTGGGAAAGAGTATAACTAACATACTAGAGGCAGTGCTTTTTCGCTCTCCTTTTCTCTCTTCCTTTCTTTTCCCCACAAGTATTTAATCACCTATTTTAACCAGATATTGATCTTGACATTGAATACACTAGCTTGTAGTCTAATTGAGGAGACAGATGTAATTAAATAGTCCCTAAAAGGCCACAACTGGAGATGTATGTGACTAAGCAAAGATCACTTCAACCCTTGGTATAAAGGCCTCTGGGGAGAAGGTAAAACATCTACACAGAGTTCAATGAGTCTTCTTAGAGAAAAAGGACTGAATATGGTTTGGCTGTGTCCCCAGTCAAATCTCATCTTGAATTGTAGTTCCCGTAATCCCCACATATCATGGGAGGGAACCAGTGGGTTGTAATTTGATCTGGGGGCAGTTACCCTCATGCTGTTCTCTTGATAGAGAATGAGTTCTCATGAGATCTGATGGTTTTATAAGGTATAAGGGGCTTTTCCCTCTTTTGGTTGGCACTTCTCCTTGCAGCCACCATGTGAAGAAAGACCTGTTTGTTTCCCCTTCCACCATGATTGTAAGTTTCCTGAGGCCTCCCTAGCCATGCTGAACTGTGAGTCAATTAAACCTCTTTCCTTTATAAATTATCCAGTATTGGGTATGTCTTTATTAGCAGCATGAGGACGGACTAATACAGGACTGATGTCAAACATATCCTTTGGTGGTTTAAACTATGAAAACTTTTCATGGGATTGAGTAGTCTTGTCAGAGTTTAAAAGAAAGAGAAGAAAGCAAGTGTGCCAACTTACCATTATGGAATGGGAAATCAGAACTACAATAGGTTTGATGAAGAAGACAGCTATTATCACAGTTTATAGGCAGGTCTGGAAACCCAGGTAAAATTTTGCATTGTGGGAACAATGGCTGAGGATGTGAATGTGAAAAACCTGGCTTGTTACCTTGGTGCTTAAACTTGGGGCATCACTTTTGCTCCTGAGGCAAATAGCAAGAACATGGCCACTGCAGTGAATAAGCAGGGCCGACTATGAAAGACATACTCTGCAGAATGGCAAAGAAATTGCAGTGGTGTATTAAGAAGAGTCTCATTCTCTAGCCGTCTGGTGTTTGAAACTCAATCAACCTTTAAAACAAAAAAATAAAAATAAAAATGAAAATAAAATTAAAAGAAAATCCCCTGGAGAGGTTAGATAGGAGGAAAGGGGAAGCTTCCAAATGAGATAATGGCATTCCGGCTAAGTTAGGCAGATGATGGTACTTGTGTAATAAATGGTTAGAGAGGATCAATCATGCCAGTTAAAGAAACCACACCAACGATACACAACAAACATTTCAAGTGTATGTTAGGAAGCAACTGTGCAGGACATAGAGTACAACCTCTAGAGCTAAGCTGCCTGGCTTCAAGTTCCAGTTCTACGGGTACTAACATGATTTTAATCTTTATGTATCTCAATTTTCAATAAGAGTTTTAGGGTTGATTTTGAAGAGTAAATGACTTAATTATTGGGAAGAACAAAGAATGTAGCTGGTATATAATAGGCACTTAATACATGCTAACTATTTTTAATGCATTACCTCATAATTTACAATGCATTGTAAGTGATTGGTAATTGTCAGCTATTATAGCCATTTTTATGCCTCCAGAATTGAAAATACTATGCTTCTCCTTAGGTTTTTTCCTCATACTGGGAAAGAAAATGAAGAAAGTAATGGACTTTTCTAAGTTTTTGGACATGCTCAGATAGCTAGAGAATGAACTCAAACTGTTGTGCCAGTTCCTAGACAACTATTATACTTGCCCTCAGGAAATGACTATATTTCAGGAATTCAAAGGGGATTGTGGCAACATACTGAGATGCTCACCAAATGCATAGGAAATCATCAATATAAAAGACCAGATAAACAGGAAATGTTTTATTCCCCTCTACTCATGTGGACTCTATAATCATTTGAGCTGGACAGGAACAGAACTCAATTTTGTTTTTATGTTCCTTTGGAGAAAATAACTTGTTCATAAATAACTATAAAGAATATCACTACAGTGAGGATATGCTACGTTAATTTAAAAATATGTTATTGTAAAACACTTTGAGTGTACCTATATTTTTGTGTATATATATATATATCTTTATTTTCTCATGAGAGTAGGTCATTAAGGGCACTTACTTACTAGTTGTTCTCATCTTACTTTTTCCCCTACCACTATAATATATGGAATTTACATGAGGAATACATTCTGATAGATAAAGTAATACACAAAATCTTTTACAGTTTAATGCATTGTTGTGGCACTACTCTCAACTAATCAGAGTGTGTATTGTCAGACAAATTTGAATTACTCAATCAGCTTAAATGCAAAAATTGTATTATTTTTCAAAGACTAAAAACATTTATTTGTATATCCACATATTTAATTATTTATTCATATTAATTGTACATTAACCTGAATTTTCATGTATCTACTGTATAAACACCATTTGCTTCATCCATTTACCTTTTAAAAACATTCCTTGAGAATCTATTACATGAGGTACTATTGAAACACTAAGGTTAAAACAGTAATATTAACCAAGATCCAAAATAAAATCTTGCAGTCACAATCTCCAACATAATATACATTAGGAAAAATTTCAAGAGCCTCATAATCTCAGACACTTACTGAGAGAAAGTTAATTTTTAATAAAAGAGATGGAGAAAGAGATCTTCCTTCCTTAGGAAGGAAGGAAGGAAGGAGCCATATTCTGAGCCTGACTGGTCCACCAATGTAGGTATAATGTGATCAACAACTGTATCCAGAGAGCTCTGGACAATTTTCCCCCTTGGTCATCATATTTTATTTTGAAAAATAAACTAGTCATCCAAATACATGTTTCCATATATGACTATAGGGCTCTCAGATTGGTTATTGGTTATTTTGTCTCTCCTACCTGCAAGAAGCAAGATTTCTAAGAGTGTGTGTGTGTGTGTGTGTACACGTACACACACGCACACACATGCCCAGTTAAATTTCTTATTCAGAGCTTCTCTTGAGGACTGATAGAACTACCGCCGACAATATTAAGACACATAAACACATGCAGATAACCAAATAACTCATTACTTAGTGGCACTACCTTATGTTTATTTAAGAGCATTCCATTATAATGCCAATAGGTATATGCGATTTAGGGATAAATCTTTATGGCCCACCTTAGGTTTTTGTGGTGGGCCATGCGCTCTGATTTTGTCCAGCATGTAGTTACAGAGACATCTAGTGGTCAGGTCTAGGAGTATGTCATCTAAAAGAACTGCAAAAATGGATTCATTTCCGCTAGAGGGGCCATTGGCCATGTGCCAAGAAGGGTGGTCACCAGCGAGAAAAGTTAGGTTGAAGTGGTACATTATGCATAATTGGTAGTAATTTGCTGTTTTTAGAGCTTGGAAAATTTGAGACGAAAACAAAGGAGACAGTAGATAATAATAGCAAAACAAAAATTCAAAACAAGGTAAATTAAGTACCTACCCATCTATGGGTATTGCTTCAGGATTCTTGCTTTACTCAGTTTGACTCACCAATTTATCATATTTGAAATGCCATATTAGGCAGTGGAAACTTTAGCTTAACGTTTTATTTGTACATTAAAATACAGGTTTCCGTGGGAGAGGTAACACAATAGCTTGTATCAGTCATTACCACTTGAGTGTGAAGCAGTTAGTCAAAGTCTGGGAGTGAATGAGAGTAGAAGCTGACAAATCTAGGTGAGGAGGATTAAAGCAATGCTTTCCTGGGTAGAAAAAAGGATGCCAGTGTCATTAGGTTATATTAACATTAGATATCATGTGATTTTAATTAATAAAAGAATATTGTAGGTATCAAAGTTCTCAAAAAACAAGTGGTTTAGGGGCTATTTTATGATTCTCAAAGTGGAGAAAATAGTAGAAAAATAAAGAAAAATTAAGGAAAGATGTAGAGAGGAAATGCACAGCAAACATACACACACATGCACAGGCACACAGACATGGAGTCTCCCTATAGGATACTGTCATCATGGCCAGTGCTCTAGAGACATTTTATAATTAAATCATTTTCCTTCATTAAAATCAAATCCTGGTGTAATGAGACCAAAATCAGGGCTGGCATCATTTTTCCCCCCTGTGGTGGAGAAGTACTATAATAAACCCTGTCTCCATAAATATCCCTCAAAGCACTTTATAGTCTGCAGGAAGTTTCCCACTTTTGTCTGAAACTTTGATACTTTGAATTAGAGACAACAGTGGGGTATCAGGTATATATCTCAATTGTTTTAGAAGATAAAATGTTGCATAGAGACAAAGGTGTTTGGGCTATGGCAAAAGGAGGGATTCTACAGAAGGTCACCCTGTGTCTTCTCCTCTCAATGCCTCAATAAAACACCTTGATGACCCCAAGTAATAGCCCAAAATCACAATAGCCCAAGAAGGAAACAAATACAAACTTTCAGAAAATAGTATGTGAAACACGAGTTTATGAAATTATTTAGTTGTGAAATCTATGTCCTGGTATTATTTGCTTATCAAAAATATAAGTTTTAGCTTTTGTTTTTCAGAAAAAAATAACCACTACCAAAGCATATATAACACTCCACTTTCCCTCTATAATTTTAATCATACTCTGCCCCTCTTGATCTCTATGCAATTTTCATGATATGTTTAAATCAAAACCAGTGATCCTGAAAGAAGAAATCTAACATGAATTCCAAATTGGGCTTCTATAGTGTGATGGTTAATACTGAGTTTTAACTTGATTGCATTGAAGGATGCAAAGTATTGATCCAGGGTGTGTCTGTGAGGGTGTTGCTAAAGGAGATTAACATTTGAGTCAGTGGGCTGGGGAAAGCAGACCCACCCTGAATCTGGGTGGGCACCATCTAATCAGCTGCCAGCTAACACAAAGCAGACAGAAAAACATGAAAAGGCTAGACTGCCTTAGCCTCCCAGCTTATATCTTTCTCCCGTGCTAGATGTTTCCTGCCCTCAAACATCGGACTCGTTCTTCAGCTTTGGGACTCGGACTGGCTTCCTTGCTCCTCAGCTTGCAGACGGCCTATTGTGGGACCTTGTGATCCTGTGAGTTAATACTTATTAATAAACTCCCATATATATGTGTGTGTGTGTGTGTGTGTATACATATATATGCGTATATATATAATATATATCTTATTAATTCTGTCCCTCTAGAGCACTCTAATACAGTTATTGTTCTCTTTTTTAAAAGTTGCTCCCACTAACCCATAATTTTACATTTATGATAGCTTTCTCAGTCTAAAGGCAAACCCGATTCAAGCATGATTCCAATTATAGAACTTACTAAATATTGTCAGATGGAGGGATCTTTAACATAGTTTTCCTGCATTCAAGTCCACTTCCATCAGAATCAGTTAGACCTAGTTACCCAAGTCATGGTCCATAGATATTCAGCAGTGGCAACCATCACCTGAGATCTTCCTAGAAATGCACATCTTCAGACCCCTCCACAGATTCCCAATTTATTTGTAAACACATTAAAAATTTGGAAAGCACTGCCACATCCTTTGGTTTCCTCTCACTCTGAAACCTGCAAAGTCCTCATACTTGGTGGGGTCAAGGGAAGAAAAAGACATCTGGGAATCTCTTTTTTTAATAGACTTTTCAGATAATTTTTTTTTTAAGAAAGCAAAAAAATTTGAAAATTGTATTCAATACCTTCTATTTGCTTATCTGGGACAACCTCAGACTTTGATGATGTATGGTCAAAATCTTTGGTCAAGTCACTTTGCTTCCATAAGCCTCATTTTTGTATCTGCGAAATAATCTTCACAGGTTGTTTAAGCCCCCATAATACAACATACAGGGAAGGACGTACATCCCATGATACAAAATACAGGGAAGGACTTCGTGCACATCAAAGTCTGCAAATAGAAGAATTCACTACTATTCCGATGTGCCTAAGGATACTCCTACCATCTATGTCCTGAAGTTTTCACACTACAAAGACTAGCAAGAAGTGCACCTTTCTCTTAGAGTGTCAGTTTCGGTAAGCAAGACTTCCTGCTTGGGAAGTCCACAGGGATTTTCTCCCATCAATATTAAGAGGAGGATGTGGGGCAGCTTGAAGTCTGCAGATCTGTTCAGCTGTGGCTCAGTGAGCAGCTGGTAATACAGCATTTATATCATGCTGGCTCAGCTAAGAATACTCTTTCTATTCTTGCCTGCTTTTTGTTTTATTTTGTTTTCAGGCTGAGGTGTGAGGGAAAGGAGCAGTATCTGGATGCATTTTACAGTTAAGGATGTAGTTATCTTGCATTTTATAAGCCAGGGACTACTTTCAGCCAACCTCAGCAATAAAGAGAATGGCCCCATTTGTCAGGGAAGCAACCAACATCTGAAAGACTGAGTGAGAATTAAAAGTCCACAAGGTCCTTACTCCTGGATTTTTACATAGATAGGATATTGATGCTTCCTTTTATTACAATCACAATCACTAAGAGTAATACAGAGCTGCAGGATTGAAGATAATGAAATAAATCTAAGATGATATTATTGCATACCATATGATGTATGTGCAAGAGAGCATTCATGTTAGAACAATATTAGAATGTGATTCCAGTAATATTTTGTGGAGATACAACTACTGTTATTACGGAAAACATCAGTACAGATGAAAAATAATTGATAGATACAAATCAGGAATGCAATCCTCTTGTGCTTTGACAAAAATTATTAGACCCTAGAAGGTCTCATAATCTATTACTAAAGAGAACCCGTTGATCAATACCGATACAATAAGATGTTGGTTTCTCAATGTGAATTTACTAATTTAATAATGGTTAACATTTATTAAGTACCTACTAAGGAACAAGCATTCCACTATGTGCTTTACACACATAATTTAAAATGACTTGTTACCAAAAGCTTATATGTTCCTCGGAAACTTATGTCATAAGAAAATAAATTATCTTCACATGCTCACATGAGAATCGCATGGTTATTTGTCAATAAATATTTTTCCATTCATAGTACAATTATTATGTAGGTCATCATTTCCCAAGTGGGTTTCATATAGCACTATTAATTTGCAAAGTGTTAACAGATGTTCCATAAAAATAGTGTTCTATATTCAAGTACATTTAGAAAACATTGAATTGAATACAATTAAACATGATTATTTAACACAAGACTTCTTGAATTCTTCAAATAATAATTTTTACATATCTCTGTAAAAGGAAAATAGCCTAAACATTTCCCGGCCGGGAGTGGTGGCTCACACCTATAATTCCAGCACTTTGGGTGGCTGAGGTGGGCAGATCATGAGGTCAGGAGTTCGAGACCAGCCTGGCCAATATGGTGAAACCTTGTCTGTACTAAAAATATAAAAATTAGCTGGGTGTGGTGATGGACGCCTGTAATCCCAGCTACTGGGAAGGCTGAGGCAGGAGAATGGCTTGAACCCAGGAGGTGGAGGTTGCAGTGAGCTGAGATCGTGCCACTGCACTTCAGGCTGGGTGACAAAGCAAGACTGTCTCCGAAAAAAACATTTCCCAAATATAGAAGACCCAGGAACAGTTTTTTCACTGAATACATAGTAATTAGTAATACTTTGCTTTTTGAATATATATTAGATGTATTTCATGACAATTCTGTTAAGATAAACATACACCCTTTAAAAGAAGAGTGGCAGGACCATGTTATTTCTCAAGATATTTTGATAATACATTTAATATCCCTAGTTTTCCTGTTGTTTGACAGGCATTCAGTACAAAACTGGAATTTCTGTCAAGACTAAGGAGGACCAGGGAAGAAAACTGATTTCAAAGAGGCTACACAAATTCTTGACCTGTCAAAGTCCCACAGTGGCAATAATGTCTATGAAATTAGTTAGCAAAACCAGAGAACCTTTTATAGAAATGACTGACCAGCCTCCACTGTCTGATAATGTACAGAAATCTTACATGTGGCATAATCATCACAGAGAGCCTCTTTCACAACATTCACTTCTACTTCTGAAAGCATGTCCAGTTGAATTCAGGTTATACAATGCCACTTCTCTAAATCATTTTGCCTTGCAGACCACAACACAGCATCAAATGACCTATACCAACGTTTCTCAAAAGCTGAATGGAAAACTCTTCTCATCTTTCAAGAGTCCCTAAAACTAGTACTTTTAACATCCTGAAATGAGATTTCAATGCCCTACATTTAAGAAGGGGAAAGAAACAATCACCAATATTTTTCCTACAATGGGTTTTGATTTGATAATCCAATAAACGTGATAAATCTCAAACTCTGATAAAGGAACAGATGAAAAAACCATGTGACCTGCAAACTTTTTGTTAGTATCTCCATTCTGCCCTAAAATACTCAATACTTTTCAATCTTACCAAAGAAAATTACTGTTACTAAATGTAACATAACACCAAATACAAGCCCTAGCTGTGCTTCTAGAAACAGGTATCATTAGAGATTAGATTTTATTGGACCTGACAATGAACTCTTATCTTCCCCACCCTACTTCAGCTTCCTGAATTGATTCACCTCTGAAAATACAGTACAAATATTCAAAGGTCAACCATTGCTGACAAGAATGGTGTCAACGTAGTTAGTTGTACAGTCTAGTCTCTCTGAAATCTTGCTATCATTTACCTTTTCCAATATTATCTCCAAACTTTCACTGCCTTCTTTTCCAACCACAAAACCTCTCTCTTGCTCATTAAGACACACACGCACACACACAAACGCGCGCGCGCGCGCACACACACACACACACACACCAGTTGCAGGAACATTCCTCTAAACCAAGGATTTAATGTGGATTTAGTGCTTCAAAGATAGGAACAGTTCATGTCTTCACAGAACCTTCAAGCTTTTTTGTACACTCATCCCCAGGCTTTTGTTGATTTTTCTAACCCTTGTTTTCCAAAATGCTTCTGCCCCATTCCAATGTCTTTGTATTTGTTAAGATTTTCCTTATTCACTCATTACATCTTTGTTCCTTCTGTTTTTGTTAACTATAAAAATCTCCTGACTTTTTTGCGCTAAAGAGTATGTTGGACCTGGGGGCAAAAGATAATTACAATATGGGCTGGGTGCCCTGGCTTACGCCTGTAATCCCAGCACTTTGGAAAGATGAGGCAGATGGGTCATCTGAGGTCAGGAGTTTGAGACCAGCCTGGCTAACATGGTGAAACCCCGTCTCTACTAAAAATACAAAAATTAGCTGGGCGTGGTTGTGGGCACCTGTAATTCCAGCCATGTGGGAGGCTGAGGAAGGAGAATAACTTGAACCTGTGAGCTGGAAGCTGCAGTGAGCTGAGATCACACTGTCACACTCCAGCCTGGGCGACAAGAACAAAACTCCATCTCAAATAAATAAATAAATAAATAAATAAATAAATAATAAAAAAAAATAATTACAATATGGTACCTGTCTGTCTTGGAGGAGTTTACAGCACTGGGGAAATGGATGAAGAAAAAAAGAGACCAACAATTTTTATGCAAATAACATGTGGCAGACACTGTACTTGTTGCCTAGATTTGTTTTATTGTGTGGTCTTCATATCAACATTATTTATTAAACAGGTATCTATAGTAAATCTATTATTGTTCAGGAACTGACTAGACACTAGATGAAAAAGATCTCGGCTCTTAAAAGTCTTACATTCTAATGATGTAGACTTACCAAATACAAGACAATTAACAAATATAATAATACAAATTTTCAAAAATAATCCAACAAAAAGCTGAGATGGAAGAAAACACTGAGATGGTGACCTTGTAGAAAGTCCTAGTTCAGTTAGTATGAGCAGAGAAAGCATCTCTGAAAGAGTAAAAGGAAATTGGGATATAAACGATGAGAAAGAAATTGCAATGAAAACAGTATCAGGGTATACTATCCCTGGAGCCCCTCTCAGAATATTGATGCTGAAGCACTGTGAATAAAGAGAGAATGACATGAGATGGAGTAAAACAAGTAAATGTCAAACCAATTAGCATACCACTGAAGGTCTTAATTTTGGCTCCACGTCAGCTTTTCCAATCTTATCACCAACCTTTAATAATTCACTTTTTAGACACAGAAATACTTTTTCTCATTATTTCTTCATTCATTCATTTAATATATATTGAATGAACACCTGAGGATCACAAGTAAGGAAACCGATTTGATTCTAAATGCAAAATATGCATTAGATAAATTGGTAGGTGTTTTTAAATTTTTTTTTGTTTTAGCAACTGATTCATTTGTTTTTATTTTTGTAGATTTGGGGAATATGAGTGCCATTTTGTTACATGGATATATTGTGTAGTGGTGAAGTCTGTAATCATAACCTGAATAGTGTACATTGTACCCAACAGATAATTTTTCATCCCTTAAATTCCTCTGACTGTCCTCCCTTTTGGAGTCTCCAATGTCTATTATGCCACTCTGTATATCTATGAGTATCCATTGTTTAGCTCCCCCTTGTAAATTCCTGATTCATTTCACGTAGGATAATGGTCTCCAACTGCATCCATGTTGCTGCAAATAACATGATTTTATTCTTTCTTATGGCTGAGTAGTATTCCATGGTATATATATACCAAATTTTCTTTCTCCTACCACCCATTGATGGACATTTAGGTTGATTCCATTACTTTATTATTGTGAATAATGCTGCAATATACATACAATTGCAGATATCTTATATAAGGATTTGTTTTCCTTTGGGTAGATATTTAATAGTGGACTTGCTGGATCAAATGGTAGTTCTATTTTTAGCTCTTTGAGAAATCTCCATACTGTTTTTCACAGAGGTTGTACTAATTTACATTCCCACCAATTTGTATAAGCATTCCTTTCTTTCCACATCCTTGCAAACATCCAATTTTTTTTATTTTTTAATAATAAGCATTCTGACTAGTGGAAGATGGTATTTCATTGTGGTATTTATTTTCATTTTTATTACAATAACTAATTTGCATTGATGTTGAGCATTTTTTCATATGTCTGTTAGCAGCTTGTATGTCTTTTAAAAAACATCTGTTCATGTTTTTGCCCACTTTGTGGCAACTCATGGAAGACAACACAGAGATGGTGGCTGTGTGGAAAGTCCCAGTTTAGTTAGTATGGGTGCAGAAAGCATCTCTGAAAGGAATAGGGTTTTGATGGCTTTGATGGGTTTTGTTTTGATGAGGTTTTTTTAAATTGTTAAATTGTTTGAGTTCCTTGTAGATTCTAGATATTAGTCCTCTGTTGGATGCATAGTTTGCAAATACTTCTCTCATTCAGTAAGTTGTATGTTTACTCTGTTATTTCTTTTCCTGTGCAAATTTTTAGTTTAAGTCAAATTTGTCTAGTTTTATTTTTGTGGCCTTTGTTTTTGCAGCCTTAGTCGTAAATTCTTTGCCTAGGCCAATGTCCAGAAGAGTTCTTGTTTGTTTGTTTGTTTGTTTTCAGTTTTTTTTAGGTTTTCTTTTAAGAATTTTGTAGTTTCAGGTCTTATATTTGAGACTTTAATTCATATTGAGATAATTTTTGTATATGGTGAGAGACATGGGTCCAGTTTCATTTTTTTGCATATAGCTATCTATGATTAATATTTTTGGAAAAAAGGAGTTTGTCTGTCCACTCTAGAGAGAATAGGTTAGAAGAAAACTAGAGTGAAAGGGGGAGAAAAATTACTGACATGGCATAATCTAATGATGATGGTGAATTGGGGCCAGTTACAATTTAAAAAGAAACAGATTCCAGATATATTTTATAGGTTTTATCTATGGTCTCCTTTTAATTTTTACTTTTTAATTTTCTCAGCATCAAGAGAACTATGTAAGCTTTTTTAAAAAAAGCACAAATCAAATGACAGTTACGAGGAGAGTAACACACTACATATGTTTTTTTTAAAAAAAAGTATAGTCTAATAAAACAGTCTCCAGCTTAAAGATTCCATCTATTGGACTGATATGGTTTGGTTCTATGTCCCCACCGAAATCTCATCTCAAATTGTAATCCCCATGTGTCACGGGAGGGACCTGGTGGGAGGTGACTGGATCATAGGGGCGGATTTCCCCCTTGCTGTTCTCATGACAGTGAGTGAGTTCTCACGAGATCTGGTAGTTTGATAAGTGTCCAGAGCTCCCTCCTTCTTGCTCTCTATCTCCTGCCACCATGTAAAATTGTCCTTGCTTCCCTTTTGCCTTCTACCATAACTGTACTTTTCCTGAGGCCTCTGCAGCTATGTGGAACTGTGAATCAATCAAACTTCTTTTCTTTATAAATTACCCAATCCCAGGTAGTATCTTTATAGCAGTACTAGAGAACTCAATTACTATAATAATGCTGAGATAATAAGTGAGTCATGAAGAGCCAAGCCAGTCTTCTCAAGGGTAGAGAGAGGGAAGAGACAACACTCTCTTTCTTCTGTTTTTAAGGACTATTTAATATGCATGACTAAAGAAATGCAACACTGGAGCTGCATAGAAATTTAGACCTATATCAGCTGTATTTGTTTTTGCCAGGACTATAACTGAATATGCTAAGGGAATCTGAATGTCTTAAGCAGAGTCAAGAATCCAGAATGAGGAACTGAGGCTCACCCTCACTTCCCCTCCTAGCGTTTATTTTTTGTGTGTGTGTTGGTGTGACAGACAAAGGTGGAAGGTAGAGGCAAAATGGAAGTAGAAAAGCAGAATCATTAGCAGTCAGGGTGGCTGAGATAGGAACAATAGGGACTTCCTCTGGATATGAGGCATATGGAGATCTTCCAGGATCCCATGCCATGGTTTATCATGGTGGGCTAGAGGGTTTATCAGCCACCCCAAAGTTACTTTCAACGCTCTTTTTTTTTTTTCCACATCTCATATGTTTTCTCAGCCTCCATTTTAAGTAGAGATACCCAAATTGACTCAATCTTCATTCAGAGACTTAAGCTGGGGGCCTCTGAGAAAATTTATTTTTTTCCAGTTAAAAAAAAAAAAAAAAGATAGATGTAACTGGCATGTCTCTTCCTTCTATTTCATTCCTTCTGCCTTGAATGTAGAGAAGATGGCAAGAACTTCAGCAATTATCTGGCAACAAAGAAATAAAGGCCAACAGGGCTCCCACCCTTGACACTGTTAAGTCACAGAACTATGACCTACAATTTCTGGACTTACTGTTAAATGAGAAAAATGAACTCCAATTCATTTAGGTTTCTTGAGTCAAATTACTATTACTTATAGCCAAGAGTTATATTAACTGGTCCAAACATCTTCTGCCCTCAGAAATAAAACATAAATTTAGGAAGGTTTAAAAAAATTATAATAATGCAATCATCATTAGTATTTCAGTATATTACTATTCAGTCTTCAAATTTACATATGCATTAATATTTTCTTTATATAGTTGTCATTATACAAAACCTTCCAGGTCATAAATTTTTGAAGCTGCCTTATAATTATGCATAATTAATTTATTCATATGTTTCTTTTGTTTGACATGTAGGCTGATGCCATTTTTTACCTTTATAAATAATTTTATTAGCATATTTGTGCATACTGCATTTTTCATATTTCCTTAGGATAAATTTCTAGAACAGGATCCAAGTAAATAAAAAATTCTATGACCCATAATACAAAGTCAAACTGCTTTCTAAAAAAGTGTTATTCCAATATACATTGCTACCAAAAACATATAAACATATCATTTATCAACATATCTTTTCCTACATTAAGTATTAATATGAAAAAATAATGGCAAATTTCAACAAATAGGAACATTTAAAAATGATTTTAATTCAAGACACAGTTCTCTCTCTTTGTTGCTTTTTTCTTTTTTTTTTTTTTTTTTTTTTTTTTTTTGAGACAGAGTCTTGCTCTGTCGCCCAGGCTGGAGTGCAGTGGCACAATCTCGGCTCACTGCAAGCTCCGCCTCCTGGGTTCACGCCATTCTCCTGCCTCAGCCTCCCGAGTAGCTGGGACTACAGGCGCCCATCACCACGCCCAGCTAATTTTTTGTATTTTTAGTAGAGACGGGGTTTCACTGTGTTAGCCAGGATGGTCTCGATCTCCTGACCTCGTGATCCGCCCGCCTTTGCCTCCCAAAGTGCTGGGATTACAGGCGTGAGCCACCGCGCCCGGCCTGTTGCTTCTTTCTTGCTATAAAAACAGCCATTAGATTTTTATACTGTATAATCTGACATAGTTCATCTGTATAATCTGAAATAGTTCATCTATCTTCAAATTTCTGCCCAACAATTACAATGACTTATGTATGCAGAATGTTCTGCATTGCAGAAAATGCTTTTGAGGCATGTATGATTCTCATTTAACAAAGGAAAAAGCTGATTTCAGAAAGCATAAGGGTATTGCTATGAAATGGTAGAGCTTATACTTTTGATTTCTAGTCCAAGACCCCTTCTAGTTATTTATTTATTTATTTATTTATTTTTATGTTTGCTTCATTTTTTTTTTTTTTTTTTTTGCTTCAACATAGGTGCAAATCCAACCTCATCATATTAACACTGACTTGAAAGACAAATCCCAAAAAGAATTAACGAAGGCTTAGAAGAAACAAATTAGCGGAAGGAAACAAATTTTGTACAGGCACAGTGGCTCACACCTGTAATCACAGCAGTTTGGCAGGTTAAGGCAAGAGGATCACTTGAGCTCAGGAGTTAGAGACAAGCCTGGGCAACGCAGCGCAACCCCATTTCTACTGAAATCCAAAAAATTTAGCTGGGCCTGGTGGTGCATGCCTGTAGCCCCAGCTACTTGGGGAGATGAGGCAGGAGGATCCCTTGAGCCTGGGAAGTTGTGGCTACAGTGAGCCCTCATCATGCCACTGCACTCTATCCTGGGCAAGAGAGCAAGACTTTCTCTCAAAAAGTAAAATAAAATAAGGAAACAAATTTAATAAAGGGAGTCTCTCTCTCCTTTTTCTTTTTTCTTTCTTTCTTTTTCTTTTCTTTTCTCTCTTTCTTTTCTTCTTCTTCTTCTCCTTTTTTTCTTCTGAGTTTCACTCTTGTCACCCAGGCTGGAGTGCAATGGTGCAATCTCAGCTCACTGCAACATCCGCCTACCAGGTTCATGTGATTGTCCTGCCTCAGCCTCCTGAGTAGCTGGGATTACAGGTGCCCACCACCACACCTAGCTATTTTTTTTTTTTTTTTTTTTTAGCAGAGATGGGGTTTCACCATGTTGGCCAGGCTGGTCTCGAATTCCTGACCTCAGGTGATCACACCGCCTCAGCCTCCCAAAGTACTGGGATTACAGGTGCGAGCCACTGCGCCCAGCCGGGAGCCTCAATTTCATATTACCTTTTCCTCTGTTCCCTGAGTATGTATTTTGGGCACATGTGGCACTATGTGAAACATCACAGAAGAGCTAAGAGTAGCCTCAGAGCAGTCTGATATTAGTGGAACACAGGTAAATTCCACAGATGCGAAGGAATTTCCGAACCTCTAATGCTTTGAAATATTTATAAAAACAGACAAGCCAGTAGCTATAAAACATGGTGGTTTGAAGAGAAAAAAAGTAATAATAATGAGTACAGTTGGCTCTCTGTATGTGTGGGTTCTGAACCAGTGGATTCAGCCAACCACAGATGGAAAATATTTTAAAAATATGCACAGTTGTGTCTATACTGAATTCATACAGACTTCTTTTCTTGTCAGTATTCCCTAAATAATACAGTATAACAACTAACTACATAGCATTTCTGTTGTATTACAATTTATAAATAATCTTGAGATGATTTAAGTGTATGGAAGGATGTGTATATGTTGTATGAACATACTAAATCATTTTATATAAGGAACGTGAGCATCCATGGATTTTTGTATTCACGGGTGGGTGCTAGAACCAATCCCTCATGGATACCAAGGGACGACTATTAGCTTGTATGTGGTGGCTCCTTCATCATCCAGTAGAGTAATCATTGAACCACAGTAGACAAAGATGTGTCTTGCAAGCTTCTAGGTGACAGATCTCAATGAGCGTTTAATAGTTGGTCTGCATGAACTGAAGTGTTTATGCAAAAAGTCATTGGCTACATAATAAGCTTGAGTACAAAATTGGGTAGGGAAATGAGATTTTAGAAGATACAATGATTAAGTATAGAAAAGTGGAGAGAAAATAAGATTGAGTCATATTAGTATCAGGACAGGAAGTCTAACTTAATTTTTTTTTTTTTTGAGATGGAATTTCGCTCTTGTTGCCCAGGCTGGAGTGCAATAGCATGATCTCAGCTCACTGCAACCTCCACCTCCCGGGTTCAAGTGATTCTCCTGCCTCAGCCTCCCGAATAGCTAGGATCACAGGCATGCATCACCACGCCCGGCTAATTTTGTATTTTTAGTAGAGACAGGGTTTCTTCATGTTGGCCAGGCTGGTCTCCAACTCCCAACCTCAGGTGATCCGCCTGCCTTGGCCTCCCAAACTGCTGGGATTACAGGCATGAGCCACCACGCCCGACATCTAACTTAATTTCTATTCTTTTCCCCTTAGCTCCGGCAGTAAACTGTACCTCAAAACTAGAAGAAAGGAAGATTTAACATGCAACCTTCGCTTCACCATCTCTCTTCCTTCCCATGTTCCAGAAGATTCTGCATAATGAAAACACTGTAATCTCTCAAGAAATATCTCATAAAGAGTGCATGAGAAAATCCCTTCTCCCCAGAGCTTATTTCTCTCGCATTTTAATTCTGAATGAAGGGATCATAAAAGCATATCAAGATCCATGTTGCCCCACAAAGGACATTCTGAGGCAACCTGAATGCCCCCCCACCCACGTGAGATAGCAAGTGATTTTTAAGGGATGGAGTAGGCTATAAAAGGGAGTCACTGGGAGACAAAAGGAGTAAATGGAAGAGGGAAAGGAAAGGAGAAGAAGAAGGCACTGAGGCTGGCGTCACAGTCTTGTATGGAGGCAGAGTGAATGGTGCAATGAAAAGTTCCCAGAAGGGTAAATCAGAGGACCCATATTTAAATCTTGAATTCCCTACCTATTGGTTGCATAATGTTGAATCCATCACTTAATCTTTTAATCTTCAGCCTTCCCATCTGTAATACGTGAACAATAATTACACCTTTCTTAAAGAGTTACTGGAGGAATTAAATATAAATGTGTGAATAAAACATACAAATTATTTTATAACAAAAAAAGAACTTTTTTTCTTTCTTCAAATGAAGATCCAAGCAGGAAGAGGGAATCCACAGTGTGTATGAATGAGTGACTGCATGTGTGTGTGTGTGTGTGTGTGTGTACGTGTTATGTAAAACTTACTGCCATAGATGTTTGGGGAAAATGTGTTTCCTTTTTATGTTGAAGCTGTTAATCATTTAGATGACATTACTTATAAAATTCAGTGTCAGACACATAGTAGGTTCTACACATTTATTTGTTGAATAAAAAAATGACTCAATAATAACGTTAAAACAAGTGAAAGTGAATGAAGGTCAAGCTCCCAATTAGCAAAGTCTAGACATTTAATAAAAGCTGCTCTGCAGTTGCAAAGATATCCATTCACTCTACCAGGTTACTCTTTTTCAAGAAAACACAGTAGACAACAACTTGAAACTCACAGATCTATTCCTGCCCCAGCTTAAATTCTAGGAAATGAGTAATGCTTGTGTAATATATAAGCCTGTTCGAGTTAACTATTCTCTGTAATAAACCACCTCAATACGGAGAGACTTAAAACAAAAGTTATGCATATCTAACCATCCTCTGCATTGGATGGGTGATTGCTCTGCTTGTTTTTCCTTTACTCACTCATGCACCTGCATTCAGCTAGAGAACAGGCTGGGCTGGAAGGCCCAAGTTAGCCTCACTGGCAGCTTGTGCTGGCTGTTAGTGACATGCAATGAAGGGGACTGAGAGAGTTGTGGGTCAGTTTTCCTATATGTGACTTCCACTAGGCTGGATGGGTTTTCTTTCTCAGTGGTCCCAGGGCAGTTCTCCAATGGAGGAATATGGAAGCTACAAGGCTTTATAAGGCCTATCCTTGTAGGTTATGTAATGTTATTTCTTCCACATTCCATCAAAGTAAGCCACAAAGTCAGATTCTAGGGGTAAAGGAACAGAATCCACACTTTCATGGGGTGTCATATTGCAAAAGAATGCACATACCAGGATATGTGGAATTTGTGGCCTTATTTTTCTATTTATCTCAGAGAATTGAGGCCACATGTGGCCCCTTTCCTTACCAAGGAGACTGTGGTTCATTGTTGCTAGACCATGTGCACCAAAAGACCATCTGTTTTAAGTTTAACAAGTAAAGTCCTTACAGAGTAAAGAGCAAAGGAGTTCTGAAATCACAAAACTAAAGCAAAAATGATGTCATATTGAACATCTGATCAAAACACAGTAATCAGGAGAAATAGAGAAAAGGAAGCAGACAGAGTAGGCCATCGTTTTAATTATGCAGAAGATCTGGGCTTGGAAGACACATTTTTAGCATAAAGCATGCTATGAATGTGACCATATGTCTGGTAGAGTATAAGCTCCTTTAAAACAGGACTGCATCTTCTCACGTCCCAGCTCTAACAATTATTAGCTGTATTATCTTTGCAAGTTACTTAAGCTCTCCTAAGCCTCATTTTCCTCATCTGTAAACTAGACATAATAATATTACCTGCATATGTTTATACTAAGAATTAAATAAGATTTATGTTCATCCTCATCACGGGCATAGAATCAATACATGAAATATGTAACTAAGAAATTTCCCAGTTTCCAATTACAAATTGTACTAAACTCTATTTTGAAGCTATTAAAACCCCATGAAAAATAATCCAATCTTAATTATTTAAAAACACTATGATATCTTAAGTTCTAAAGGGTGAGAATTTAGAATCCCATGGAAGTTGGTGGATACTTTGCCTTTCATTTTTGTCCCCAAAGTAAGTTCATTGAGATAATTTGATCAGCAAGTGTCCTACCTTCTGAGAATATGTGAAGAACAACTTAGTAGGTAAAAGTACCGTAACTGACAAGATTCCAAGGTCGTAATACCCATTAATGTGCTTACAATGGTAAGACAACCCTGAAAGTATATAATACAATTTAACTAAATATAGCACCACAATCTACGACACAAAAATGTTCCAACATTCACTCAAATCCTGATTCAGTTAAAACATAAAATAGTTACAATGAACTGCCATTCATTCTTCTATCCTGTAAGAAACAGAAGAAAAAAAATCCACACAAATATATTGTACAAATACTTGTGTGTTTGATAATAATCTTAGCAGCCTCACCTTTGTAGAGGTACATTTGTGGGTGTTTGTTTATATGGTATGTTTTTAACATCTTTAAGGGTTGCTTACAATTTTATATCAGCTTGGCTTAATAGTCTTTTTCCTTTATGTTGCCCCTTCACTAATTGGGCAAATGTGATAATTTGTAATGGGTCTCCAACTCATTAGTGTAATTTAGTAAGGTTCTACTGTATTTCACCAGACACACAAACGAGGCTGCTGCACACGTCTGTTTTTTTTTTTTTTTTTTTTGGAGCTTTACTTCATCAGTGTCCACAGTATTTCTGCTTTAAAATTGAGAAATGATTACCCCTTAATCAGCTATTTGTTACAGTGGGCTACAGAAATATATGTGGTGTCATTAATAAATAATTTCAGGATAGAACTTAGCAACAATTAACATTTACATAGAGCTTTTTTTTTTTTTTTTTTTGAGATGGAGTTTCACTCTGCTGCCCAGGCTGGAGTGTAATGGTATAATCTCTGCTCACTGTAACCTCCACCTCCCAGGTTCAAGCAGTTCTCCTGCCTCAGCCTCCTGAGTAGCCGGGATTACAGGCACCTGCCACCATGCCTGGCTAATTTTTGTAGTTTTGGTAGAGATGGGGTTTCACCATGTTTGCCAAGCTGGTCTCTAACTCCTGACCTCAGGTGATCCATGTGCCTCCGCCTCCCAAAGTGCTGTGATTACAGGCATGAGCCACTGCGCCCAGCTACATAGAGCTTTAAACTTTAAATCTTATTCTTATACATGCAAACACAGAAACCCTATGTATTCTCTTGTGAAGAAAGGTATTATACATATTTTTAAATGACTTAGAAGACAACATTTCACAGTATTTCTAAATATAGATATTTGATTTGTCCTGACATTTGCTATATAATTTTGGCCATTTATTTAACCATCTTTAAAATTTGTATAATACCTACTTCATAGTTGTTTTGGAGAAAAGATCAAATATTTTTATAATAAATGTAAACTTTTAAACACATAGTAAGTGCTGAATACAAGCTAGTTGTTATCATGATCTTGATTTGACAGATAAGAATATTGTACTTTTTAAAAGATACTTACATCTAATGACAGAGAAATGAGATAGTTGTCAAATATATAACCAGAGTTTGCAGATTGGGAAGATTTGAGTTAATTATGCAAAGGTAGTCTCTATTCTTCACTTCTAGCAAGGAAGCTGTGGAGTAGGGTAGCCAATATTGCAAGGCTGGAGCTAGCAGAAGCATTGCCTCTAATTTGAAGCCCTAGGCTACTTAAAACCGTGTAAGTGTACAGAACAGAGGCTAGAGCAAAGGATGTAGATTTGAAAAGGTTTGAAGACATCGTCAAAACAGAAAGTGGGCCTGGGGGCTTAGGCAGATGTTGGAAAAGTTGGAGCTAAATATGAAGTTGAAGTAAAAACCCAGGAAGAAGGAAGCAAGAAACCAAGAAACTCTAGCAGGCCATCAGGCGAGAGAATAATCTGAATAAATGTCAAAGATAGGAGGTGTTGCCTAATACTAGCTTGATTTTGTATCTTCTGTGGCTTCCACTGGGTAAGAAGGGTAGGAAAAAAGATGACATAAGGAGCAAAAAAAAATGTCCCTATATTCTGGCCCTGAAAATCACTAACTACTGTGAGGGGTGAGTAAAATAGATAGAAAGGCAGGTTTTTCTGGAACCATACCCAGGCCCAGACAGGAGAGCAAATTAGCTGTTTCTCTGTTTCTCAACCTCCTATCTCTGCTCTCATCAGGGAAGAAGATCAAGGTGTTATTCAAACAGGCACCTGGTAAGTGACTCTCTACTGGCCTCCCCCGACCCCTACCCAGGGATGATAGTAATGACCAAAGATTCAGTCTGAGCAGTTAGTTTCCTCTTGATGGAAAAAAAAAAAAAAAAAGCTTTTTCGCTTCTTTAAGTAGATGTGGTCAGAAGTAGAGCTGACTCTCTTCAAATAGTCTCCCTTTTGCCTTTCCTGGACCCTTATCTTGGATCCAGATTCTAAGCCAAGAAAAATAAACATCCTATGAAACTACCTGGCAAATTTCTAAATGTATTATTGTGAAACTGTCATCCCTCTAGCTTGAGAGAAATAGAAACTGGCTTCTACTCAAAGCAGACAAACTGTCTCTCTCATCTCTGAAAACTAAAAATCTAAAAAGAAAAAATTAGGCTGAATACTAGAAGGTCAGAGAGTGGCCTTTTTGTCAACTCTTCATGGTTGTGTTAAGTGCCATTCCATTCTGAGCTGGCAGTTCTTAGACATGTTTCCCTCTAGAACATAACACTAGAGATGCTTGGACCATCTGTCTGTCCGACAGACCATCTGTACAAGGCACTGGCACCCCTTCCAGAAAATAGAAGAGAAACTGAGGACACTAAATAGGTGAGTCTCTGTGTCTCTGTTTTCTAAGCTCTCTGGCAATAATTGGTAAAAGAGAAAAAGGAGTCCAGGAAAATTGTTTACATTTAAAAAAATGTTATAGCAAAGGTGGAAAATATTTTCATACAAGCAACCACAGAAATATTTAAAAGGTAATAGAAAAAAGTAACTGTTTCTGGCTTTAAGTGTTAGGCAAGCTAATGCACAAACTGAGAGGAATAAAGGCACCAGGGCTTTGTAGACAGACGCAACTAGGCAGACATTCAGGTAGACACTGCTTTTAATGAGTTTTTATCTTGGGCAAATCACAAGTTGTCTATGGCTCAGTTTCCTCATCTGTATCCTGAGAATAATGATGCCCCCTGTATGCAACTATAAAGTTTTTAATATATCATCTGAAATACCATAGAATTAAATGTGTGACAGCTATTGTGTCAATTTTGTGGGTTTTTACAAGGCTCTCTACGGGGCTCCAACCTATATCTTCATTCCTTCCTACCAAATACTTTTTGATGTATTTCCTTACTCTATTAGCACTGATATATGCAAAGTTATAATTTCTTCTAATTTCTCCTCGGAAACATTATCACTGCTTCACAATATACATATTTAAGACAAACCTCAAATTCCCCTTCCTTCTTTAATCTTTCCCAACCACAAATTCCTCAGGGATAACTCTCTTCTCTGAGTTTTACGTGCTGACTTTATTATTTTTTGGTTCTGAATCCTGTGCTGCCTTGTTTAGCAAGTTAATTGCTCCTCTGTCAATATAATGTCAACAATAATATAGGAACACATTTGAGGGAAAAATCGGATTGTTTACAACTTTGTGCTCCACATCATAACTGTGATAGAACAGTGAGTCTAGTAGGTGTTTAATAAACAAATTTTGAATAAATGACACCATCGAAATGACTACAGAAGCAAAAGAATGTACTGTTACCCACAAGAACATTCATTGAGAATTCTGACTGACTTATGCAAAAGTGTTCTTGACCTAAATCCATGACATCGTTCTGAGGTTCAGGAATAGGAATAGGGTTATTTTAAAAACTAAACACCCCCACCCACATAGACATACATAGATATAGATATAGATATAGATTTTGTGTGTGTGTGTGTGTATGTGTATTTATGTATATGGTGCTGGACAAATTAGTCTTGGAGAAAAATATGTATTAGATAGGAAGAACAGAATTCCATTTAGCAAAAGCTTAAAAAAAATGCAGCAGTGCTTATAGTGATGGAAGAGATGAAAATCAAACTTGAAGCAGCACAAACACATCCAGGAGAGTCATGGCAGTGAGGCATGACAGGTCAAGGATAAAGAAAGGGAAAACAGGAAATAGCATCAACCAGATGAACACAGGAAGAAGTTAGGTATTCATGAGCAAAACAGACCTATTTCATGAAAGTGCTGGCAGCCAGGGGAACACTCAGAAAAATTTTAAACTATTTTTATATCTGCTCTTACTTGGGCACTGGAATCAGAACAGGTTGACTGATAATATGTTTAATGCTTAATAGTAGTCCAGGTACCTTGGTAGAGAAAATGACCCTGAGCAAAAGTCACATATAAACATGGCTTTCCTTTTGAAGAAGGGAGAGTAGAGTTTTTTCCTTGTATGTATCTGTATTCAGACTGCTGTCACTATGCATGGTGGATGTCTCCAACAGCAAAAAATTAGCAAACCCATCCACTGTCTGTGTTATTAATCATTTGCTTGTTTTCAGGAAAGAGTATGCCTTTATTAGATTGATTTTTTCCTAAATGTTTTCACTTCACACATATTTTTTACTATGTTATTCAAACATTTGTCTCAACTTATATGGATTATTTTCTTTACTTCTTCCATTTGGAGTATCTACTGGGGTCAAGGTATATATGGTCACAGGTTTTAATTCCAATCATATGGTTGAAAAAATGTACACCCTGCACCATTGTGTGCTTACTTGGCCTTTGTTTCTGTGACTTGTTACCTAAAGCATGAATGTATAAATTGAAAGGACTTACACAAGGAATTGAAATCTCTCATCTTTAAGTAACTTATTATCAAATATTCAACATGCTAATGTGTTTGCTCAATAGATATGTAAAGGAACAGCTAGAACATCAAAAACAGATAAAATATAATTGAATATCTACATTATGTAAAAAAGCTAGAGGATTTTTACAGGGATTAGAGAAAAGTTGGTGTTAAAATTTTCTTTGTTCCTTGACAGTTTTAAGTGGAAGAAAGATTGCTATTTCCTCTCTTTTTCAAGAAAGCTTTCATAATATGACCTTTTCTCTTGTTTACAGCCAAGCAATGAGTTTAATGGCTCACATTTTAGAACCTGACTTTAGAAAGAATTCCCCAGTTTATGAAATTCTGAATTCGTTCTCTTTCTTTCTCTGGTCTCCTTGAATGTTCTGTACCAGTCACTCTTTTTCCATCATGTCCCCCACTGACATCAATATGTTGAAAGATAATTTCCCTCCTCTGTTTTATATTTTTATAAGTAGACAAACAAGAATATTTGCTTCTCTGTTTATTCATGTGCTGGTAATAATTTGTATCGTCTCTGGCACTGCAGAGTACAACAACATTTATACAAACTGAAACTGCTAAGTTATTATCATAATTACTATTACTACTAATGATTATAAGTAAATTTAATTATTATAATAATGAGATACCTTTTACTGAGTACCAATTAAATTCTAATCTCTGTTCTAGATACTTTGTGGGCATTATTTTTCTTAATCTTTTTACAACACTACAAGGTAAGATATGGAAATACAGCTACAAAAGTAACCTTCCCAAAGGTATGTTACTAATGAGACATAACATATTGGGACATGCTACCCATAAAGTAAATTCTGCAAATGCTCCTTAATGTCACTTAAGATTTAGTGTTACAGAGAAGACTTTCATTTCTTTACTTTCCTCTGTGTCCTGTAACTGCAGTACAATCATGCACATGGCATCAGACATTTTAATAAGATTTAAGTAACTGTCAAAGTTAAATAGAGATCTGCCTCAACTTATGGATTCTGCCAAAGACCACAAAAATATGGTACTGATCATGTACTATATTAGGGACCCATTGGTTCAGAGAAGCACCTTTCAGAGGCCCCTTAGAGATACTAACATCACATCTTTCCACTGATAGAGTCGGCCCTATTATGGGAATGTGATTACTTGATTTGCATTTACAGAAGGCTTGCTCTGGACTGTCTATAATTATGTGAAGAAGCATTGGGTTCACATCCTACAAATAAAAGAAACCATGGCATAAAAGAACAGACATGGGCTTTGGAGTGAGTCAGAATTTGGGGCAAATAAATCCTTTGTTTGCCTTATCTGTAGTATGGGAATAATAATGTTACCTTGCTTATTTTGTGTGTATGTGTGTGTGTGTGTGTATGTGTGTTTGTATGTGAGAAGTATAAATAATCTAACATACCTAGCACAGTGCCTGGCACATAGAATACCTTTGCTGACTCTATGAGATAATTGATTATAACATTATATTTTCTTGGTGTGTGTTGGTAATATATTTTGCAGTATATCACAAAAGGAATTTCCTTAGTTCAATGCAAAGCTTCAACCACAAATTCTGATGCTTAAGGCTGTGGTAGAGGCCAATGAACTTGTGTTTGCTGTTTTGACCAATTGACATCCCTCTTTCCTTTCTAACTCTCCTAGAATCAAATTTTATGGCATGAAGCTTTAAAATGCAGGGAGCATGGATCTTGTCTTTCTTCTCACAAAGTCATAAAGCAGACTTCATCCATTCATTTTAAGGATAAAAAGAACCCACAACCTGAAGGACAAAACCCTGTTCTCTCCATGCACAGGGAAAGGCTGACTTTGCAGTACCGAAATACCTGGGTCAAGTGGTACCAGCCGTGCAGTTAGCAAAGCAGAATTGGACTCATCACTGACAGCTCAGCTCAGCTACATTAGTAAGAACAAGGCTTTTTACATCTTTTCTGATATGTTCTTGAACAAAATAAAGGTCACACAGAATGACACAGCCCCACATAGGTCAGATTCTGGCAGAGGAATCTTAATTCTTGTTAACTATCAAGTCAAAATTCCAAGGGGCCGCCTTTAAGACTGCAGCATTCCCTGTCCAAATACAGGAATTGCAGCAAATAGCTATGAGCAGAGAATCCTTCTAATACTCCCCACAGCAATGATTGTAGCGCTTGTTCCTGGTAGGTGCTTAATAAATATGCATCCTTTTATTAACAGTGAACAAAATGAGATTTTAGATAAAGAGCAATATTAACACCTCTTGCTGACATCTGAATTGTGTTTCTGCAACCACATATGGAAAGATGCACGTGACTATTGCTCCTTATATTCGGTATCATTTTGAAAGTTCTGAGTATAAGTGAAATGACATCTGAAAAGGGTACTTAGGCTGCTCCAGAAAAGGGTCTGATGAAGCCATGGTACATGAAATGAGCTAATTTACAGAAATACAGCTTTCAGAATATAGCTTTCTGTCTCCAATTTTATTTGGCACTCAGATTAGTTTTGGGATTTTTACCCCCTGTATAAAAATATAAATACACTGAATTAGTATGGTCTTCCTATTCTTAAACTAGTTGAACAGGAATGAGAGAATATATGTGAGCTACCTAGAGAAGTCCAATTTTGTGTCAAGGATTTTATTAAGTGCTTTATATAAAATTATTCATTCACTCATCACAGAATTGCTTATAACTGATTGTCCCTATTTTACAGATTAGACAGCTAAGGCTTCATGAGATTAGGTATCTGATCTCATTCTATTCAACTACAAAGCCTGTTCTCAATACCATATTCTCTTGCTGTCATAACTTCCAAGTCAGCTTTTTAATTCTGGTCTATCTCTCCACCAAATGCAGCTCACTGTGAAAATCACTGTATGCTGTGCTATTATTATAAATGTATATTTTATTTATATAATTCCCAAGTGTAACTCAAATTCTAATCAACAGCCTCATTGTGGACTGGAGTTATTTGGTGAGTGCAAACTTGCTAGTAGTCTGTGTATGTCCAAGTCTGGGGAAGTCAAGTTTTTCTTACATTTTCTGGATATCCAGAAAATGAGTTCAGGTCATTATACATTTTCTATTTTTCATGAAACTAAAATTATGCCTCATATAGATTGGCTAATAATTTATGCATGTATGCATGCACATGTACATACACACGACACATACACATATTCACAAGTA
This sequence comes from Homo sapiens, assembly GCF_000001405.40. NCBI lineage: Eukaryota > Metazoa > Chordata > Mammalia > Primates > Hominidae > Homo > Homo sapiens. Next base: position 41,455,487 of record NC_000011.10, read on the forward strand.
ACTAAGAATGTACCACAAAAATTACTGAAAAGAGTTAGAGTCAACACATTTGGAAAACGCCAAAACTATAACAACATAAATGTTAATCACTAATCATTAAGAATAGACCAGTTCTGCTTAACACTTTAACTTGAAATTATATTGGAGGAATCATTTTATGTCTTGAACAATACATAAAGTCATCATTACTGTAACACATTACATTTCTACATAAGTGTATATTTGTAGATCCTTTTTTCTACAATATTTCATCATAGCCTTCACAACAACACTATGAGTTAAGAATAGTTATTTCCAAATTATATAGGAAGAAATCAAGGTTCCAAGACTTTGAATGACCTACCAACCATTAAGCAATACTTGCAATGTTTGACTGACATCTTCTGATTCTCAATCCAGAGGGTTTTTTTCTTCTAATTTTAACCCCAGCCTCCACCACTCCCCATTTTATCTGTGACTGCTGAGTAGTCCCAAATGGAGATGCAGATAATTGAGTGAGTTGGCTTAATTTATTGCAAAGCCCCTGCTCTATTCACACATCAATTAATCCATCTTTTATTTTGTAATTTATTGGGGTCCCTGAGAGGTTGTTCTGAAGTGATGGAGAACAGTACCAAGGACATACAAATAGCATTTGTCATCAGAGAGTGTATCTTCTTCTTCCAAGATCCTTCATTTTCTGTTGTAGGCTGATGCTCTTAGCCTATTCTTATTAGCCACAGTTTCAGCATCAGCTCAGCTCTTTGAGCTAACATACAGCTCTAGGCTGTTGTAATGACTCAGCAATCAAAATTTCAAGTTCAATCCACCTGATCCTTACCCACCTCCAGGGCCAGAGCTCCAAAAGCTCCTCTCTGCTCTTAAACTTCTTACTAGGTGATGTTCCTGGCTTTTTTTTTTTAAAGGTTCTCAGTAGCTGACTTTCCAGCTGTCAACCCTGTTTGTTACAGAGGGAAAGAGCTATTCATGTGTTAAGTACCCTGGGTCTTAAAAACACAGAAACACACTGGAGAATGTTGGGCCTCCTTGTCTGACTTTAGCAGAGTCCCAGAGAAAGGCCTGACAAATGGAGAAGAAACGGAATGTCCTTTATTCTCCCCAATAAACTCAGAGAAACCCTTCACCAATTCATTCTTTTAAAAATATAACTCTGCATATGTTGCTTCTAGGGAACTTTAGCCTTTTCTTTAGCAGCTGTGACAAGTTACTCCTACTGAAATGGAAAGCTCCCTACCCCCATTTACCTTTCTTTTCTGAATTCTCTAAGCAATGAAACAAACCCTGGTAAACGTCAAAACCCTCTCTACCACAAAATAAAACTGAAAAAGGCATGGATCTGGAGTTGGTTCTGATCAAAAGCTGTTTATCATTGCTCTGGCCTGAGCTGAAAATACAGATGCAAAGTTACAGTTGTGCAAACACCATCAGGAACCCTTGAGATATGGGAGAAATGCTTTGCACATTTCATAAGCTGTAATCAGAAAATCCTGAGTTGGCCCCCACTTCTATTACTAGCCTAAAATAAGTGATCATGAAAGTGTTGCTATCGCTAAAAGATTCACTCATTACAATTATTAAATCTTTAATACACAAAAACCAAGTTGGTATCTTTTGTTGTTGTTGTTGTTTTGTTTTGAGGTAGTATTGAGAATAATCTATGCAATTAATTTTTACCAACACCACACATCTAAATATACCAGTATTTGGTGAGAATATGAATGGGAAAACAGTCAACATTAAATAGCCTCAATGGAGAGAGGTACTAATTTGCCAAATTCCAGAACGACATTTTTAAAGGACCTCTCTCTATTCAGAACAGTCCTAACACTAAATAGATGACCTAAAATGCTGTCCTCTATACCTGGGACTAGTTGCCAAAAGAAACAGGTTAATAAAGGGCTGACCAACTTAAGGAATGCTGATTGTCCAGGCAGAGCTTGGAGAGCCTCCAATACCCTGCCATGACCCATTGGCACTTGGAGTATCAGGATCCTTCTCCTTACAACAGAAACTTCGTGTTTCTTATTCATATATTATTCTCACTTTCAGGTTTTATGAACCTCAGATTGTTTTTTCCATAAAGAAAATAAAATTTTGTTTAGGGTTTCTCCTAGGCTCAAGCCATTTAAAAATTAAAAAAAGAAAACAACAGACCTCCTTTCTAGATAAGAAAAATTTACCTGGACATTACGGGTAACAGATAAAAATATCATGATCATAAATCATTGACATGAAAGACATATTATAAATTATACTGACAGGAGTCTTCCCATGGTAATTTTTACCAAGAGCTCTGCCTGGAGTACCAGGTACAAGGTTGCTCCAGGGGTGGAGGAGGGGCAGCTTCTCACAGTTGTCCTCTTTTACCTACTTCTCTAAAATCATCATGCAAAAAATATTAGATAGATGAAAGGCTAGGATAGCCTAGGGTAATACCAGAGTATAATCTCTTCTTTAAGTTTTTTGTTTGTTTGTTTGTTTGCTTGTTTTCTTTTTGTAACTCCTTTTTTTAAAAACAAATATATATATATAATCAACGTTTTGAGTATGATGCCTGACATCTCTCAACTTGGGTGCTCTCATAAATCTTTGACCCAGGCAACGTAGCCTCTGAATAAATCTATTATGTTACAATTTGCATCTTCTTTCTATACATAGACATCAACAGCTGGAGAGAATCACTTAGGTATGCTCTTCTCTACCTAGTTAACACACCTGTCATCTCTTCCATGAACGTGTCCACAGTAACAGTTCAAGTTGGCTAACAGTCCATGAACTAACACTATTCTCTTAAGGATAAACCATCCACATGCACTGGCAGATGAAGAGTAAGATTCTGTTGCCTTCATGTGAGGTCTCAGCATTTTAGAAACCTATTTACAAGTGATTCTTACTCCTGGGGTGAAGCTAATTGATGCCAATGCAGAGATAAAAATACTAAAAGACACAGGAACACAGACGTTATCACAATGAAATGATATTTTGCTTTAATTAAATAACTTTGGGATTGAAACAGGTAAAATATTGTCTGCGTTTCACTTTGAAGGAAAAGCGTGGTGGGGGGGAGGGGGGCGGGTGAAGAAAGGCACAGTTAACTACCAGGAAACTAAAGAGACTGAGTTAGGCAAGATGTTTGACTAAAGTCACCTGAATTCCTCATGCCACTTGCTTTTACAGCCAAGAATAGACAATTAAGAGCAATTTTCAAGCACATTCCCTTCTCGGGGGACCATGTAGGGTAAGAGGATGTTCCAAAATGAGCGACACTAGTCTTAATCAGGGGACACTGCATTCCAAAAGGTTAATGAGATGCAATAGCGAGAGAATCAGTGCAAAAAGAGAGAGGTTCAAAATACTAAACAATTTCCACTTTGTTCTCATTTGCTCCAATTAAGAGCTGGTGAAGCAGCTTTTCTGTATTCCACGCATTCGCTACTCTCTAGAGCAGATATAACTATTCAAGAAGAAAAAAATAGAGCTATGGGGAGGGGGAAGTCTACTATTAAGTTATCGTGAAAGTCCGGATTACATCCCCACCTCCCCAGCCCCCAGTCTCTGAGCAGATACACTTTGCCTCTAACTCAGAGCCTCTGCCAGTCGCTTTTCTGATTAATGTTTTTCCTCAAATTTAGAGAGTATTGCAAGGCAGGAGAAAGGCGGAATTATTTTTTTCCATATTTCATATATTCAGAATTCCCTGTGAAAATGTTAGATAAACAAGAGAGGTACAAAAATGGTAAGAGGAATGGGGGGATGGTTATACAAATGGAAATAACCTCCTTGGCATAAAAAATAGCCCCAAAATGCCACACACTGAGTTCTTCTGAGCATTCCAATCTCTAAAAATGAGCATATAAACTGCATATACATTTCCGAAAACAAGCAGGAAAACACAAACATTGCAAGACAACAAGAACTGAGATCTGAGGAGTCCCGTGACTTACCTTCTTTATGGATCCTCAAAGTTCACCAAGGAAAATTTACAATCCTCTAGCTTGCCGTGCACTACTCTATTTTCTTTTCTTCTTTTTATTTTTTTTTAAGTCATATCGGAGAAAAATAATCAGTTTTCAAAGGTTCCATGTATCTGATCTTCCAGCACCAGCAAAAACGTGTCCAAGAGACTCCGCCAAAAAGTAAGCCAAAAACTCATCAAAGGCAAAAGCAGAAGGGGGAGTAGGGAAGCAAGGAGGTGGCGAAAGGCGGGGGGTGGGGGCTACAGACAGTGAGCCCAAGTGCCTAGAGAATATTGTCACGTTGTTGAAATCTCCTACTGTACGAAATACCTGCTTTGGTTGTCACACTAACACATACACACACACGGACACTCACACATTCTCTTTCATGCAAAGCAGGCACCCACACTCACAAACACACACAAACACACGCACTCACACAAACCAGTGTAATGAAAACTGTCAGTAGTAACCTCCAAGAGCTGCTGTGTGCTGCAGATGGTACGGCTCGCTGTTACCTTCCCAGATCTGTGAAGGATCAAATGAACATCCAAAATCAGGGGGGCCCCAGGACTAGGTAGATTCCGGATCCCTCTCCCCCAGGCAGATGCATCAAGCCAGTAGCAGGTCAATCAGCAGAGGTGTCTGCTTGCAGGGTGCCCCGGATTATGGCAAGGTTATTAATCTCGAAGTGCTGCATCCCCCCACCCCCAACATTCGGCAGCCTGCATTGAGATGATTGCCAGAGCTGTGTCTGTCCCTGTTCTACTGCATTTGCTCAGCCCTCTGATGCTGCAAGTGAGACACGGTGGAGGCAAGAATACTAATAAGGTGGTTAGCTACAGTTTCTTCAAGGCAGTCGGCATGCAGTACAGTAAATGTGTACTTCCCAGTGCTCCGTGTGTGAGCCTGCGTGTCTGCAGGGAGGGCAGTGAATCCATCTCCGGCCAGAAGACGAAATGTTTTGTATCCTGCCTGGGAGAACTATATCATCATCGGAATCATCACTGTCCTGCAACGGCGTTGTCTGTGACAGTATTTTGCTTGGGATAAAGAAGGGGGGTTAATGGTTTAGAAGCCTAGAACTGGCATTTAAAAGAGAAAAAAAAAAAATGTCTGGGGAGACAAATTAGCTTTATAAATAGGATCCAAGGAGACCGAGGAAAATTTTAACATGCTGCTTCCCTGGCTGTTAAATGGAAATACAAAGCAATTTCAAAAACCAGCTCCAGACTATAAAGCTTGGAGCTGGCAACAAGTATCTGAATTTGACTGATGGGACTATAGATAAATGGATTCCTGGTAATATAAAAAGTTTGCTCATGCATTCTGCTTCACAGCCATGGATCCGATGTATATAGCAATTTAGGTACAGTTCATTCATTTTTAAACATGAATTTAGACTTGACACCTGCACAGTTTTACTTTAATGTACACTTTTAAATCACATAGCTATGAAATTGTAGAGAACATCTGTGTGGGACAGTGTCACTAGAGGGATTGGTTGACAATTGTCCATCGTAAGCATTATAATATATAACATTTTTGCCTGAAACGAGCTTAAAGTTTTCAGAAAAAAAGTATACATCTCTTTTAGTACCAAGCAATGAAATTAAAATACATGTGTAATATGCTAAATAAGTTATCAGCCTCTAGAGGGCTAAATTTTCTGCTTCTATGATTCAGTTTCATATTAAAATACCTTTTCATTAGTTCAGAACACTCACTATATTCTTTAAGTTGAATTAAATTGCTATTATCTGGAAAAGTATTGGACAGTTGGAGAAGGTAGATAAAGGTGAGTTATAGTGCAGTGTAATACCAGGTATTGCCAGCAGATGTCACAAAAGAAAACACAGGTAAAATAATTCTTCCAAGAACGGCAAGAATTTAATCTTATTTAGTAAACACAGATCTTAATAAAATTGATGGGACTAATATGAAAAAATTGAATTTTTACAAAATTTTAAGGTGCAAAGAAGAACTTAGAGAATAACTTACATTTTATATTTTTCCAAATATCCCTCTCAAATCACCATTTTTCATAACTCTGGTAGATTTTCTATGATTAATATTGGAAAAAACACTGTGCCACTAACTAAGATTAGACTTGCATATAATACTATTTCTATTAGTGATTTTATTTTGTTCTATAAAGTATAGCATCAACATATTGTATGTAATATAGCAGCTACTAGATTAAACTACAAAACAGTTTGTAAATTGGATGAATACAATTAGTCTATAAAAATTAGTTTGAAAGAATTATTCATGTTTAGGAGTCAAACATTAAAAAAGGCAACACATATGTAGAATGTACAAAGACTCTTGACTGGTCTTTATCAATTCTATTTATGTTAATGTGTGAAATGTTTAAAAGACTCTAGCATGTCATCTTAGCCTTCAGTTACTTAAATATAACTAATGGGTACATACCACCTCGCAGCACTAATTGGCAAAATTGTCAGTAAAATGTAGTGTTAAAAACTGGCCTTTGGAATTTAGATAGATCTAGGTTCAAATTTTAATTTTTCCTTATATAGGGTGATTAGTCTCTACAAGTCATACATCTTTGTCTTTTATTGGGGTGGGGGTGCACTTTGTCTCTCTCTCTTTTTTTTTATATTTTTAATTTTAAAAAAATGTCTTTGAAATCAGGTTGCTATGTCACTTGAAAGCAGGACACTAATATGTACCCAGTAGGATTATTGTTAAGACTGGAATGAATTAATATTTATTATGTGCTTACCATATCTCCTGACACATAGTAAGTGATCTATCAGTGCTACAAATGTCTTATAAATAAAGTAGATACTTGATTTGTACTATGTGTCTGGCTTTGTGGACCACCAAGTTAAAGAAGATAAATGATTTAATCAATCCTTTCGGTGTTGAAGATGTGTTTTTAAATTTATTTTTACAAAGAGTTGGTTTGATCTTGTTTTTGTAAACCTATAGTTATGTAACATTTGCCACTTTTTAAAAGTTTATTATATGCATCCCAGTCAGCCCTCTGTATCCATGGTCCCACATTCATAAAATATTTTTTAAAAATAACGATGCAATAATAAAAAGAATACAAATTTTAAAAAGCAATATAACAAGTATTTACATAGTATTTACATTGTATTAGGCATTATAAGTTATGTAGAGATGATTTATGAAGGATGTGCATAAGTTATATGCAAATACTACACCATTTGATATAAGGTATTTGAGCAATCATGGATTTTGATACACAGAGGGGTCCTGGAACCAATTCCCCATGAATACCTAGGAATGACTGTATATGCATTCTTGCTTTATATATGTGTCCTAAGACTCAACAGGAAAGGGAAATCACTTTCTTGATTGTATGATATCTTGACTCAAACAGGATATTTGGAAGGAAGTTTAATAGCAAACACTCCTTCCTCACCAAGACTTACTTTGAAGCCAATAGTGTCACCAAACACTAAGGTATTGGTATTTAAAAAAGACCTCTGTGCTTATTTTATGTCCCCCCAAATTTATATGTTGAAGCCCTAATCCCTAATGCTATGATATTTGGAAGTGGGGTGATGAGATTCAAGAAAAACTATTCCAAAATATGTCACTTCGACATTTAAGAAAATGACAGAAGCAGAAAGGTCACTCTCGCTTTCCTCTTCCCTTCTCCCCTGAAACTGGCCATAAAATCTAGCTAGTCTTACTAAAGTAAGGTCATAAAACCTTTGTTTCAGCAGGGCCCTCCCCATACGCTGAAAAAAGAGAAATTCTTGTCCTTGCAAACACAGAGATGCCAAGAAGAATCTGAACAAATGGGCCTCACTAAGTTCTCTCCAATTTATTACCTTTAAATCTTACCATTTTCTCTAATTGTTCTTCTATATGACTGTATACCATTCATCAAATATAAGCATAAATATACATAAATTTCCGTCTATTTGGGTCTTCATTTCTGAAGGATCCCATGTCACCTGAAACGTATTAAATACATTTGTATGTTTTCATCTTGTTAATCTTTTATTTGATATAAGGACCTCAGCCATAAACTTTGTGATGAGGGGGGAAAAGATACTACTTTTTCTTTCCTACAAGGGCCTTTGGGAGTTAATTAGGTCATGAGGGTGGAGCCCTCTTAAGTAGGATTAGTGCCCTCTTAATAAGAGATGTGAGAGAGAAAATCTCTCTCTTTGCCATGTTAGAATGCAACAAGAAGGTGTCAATTCATAAACCAGGAAGAGAACCTGGTTTTTCATTTGGCCTCTTGTTTATACCATGGTTTATTTATAAGTGTGTTATTTAATTTCCAAATATTTGGGAATTTTCCATTTATCTTTCTGTTATGGATTTCTCATATTAATTCCATTGTGATCAGAGATCACTCTTTGTATGAATTGATTTCTGTTAAATTTATTAAGATTTGCCTTGTGACCCAAAATATGGCATAACTTGGTAAATGTTCCTTGTGGTCTTAAATATAATGTATGTTCCGCTGTGGTTAAGTGAAGCAGTCTATAAATGTCAATTACAACAAGTTGGTGGGTAATGTGGTTTAGTGTCTCTATACTCTTAAATGATTTTCTATCACTATATTATCAAAATCCTTCACTGTAATTGTAGATTTATCAGTTTTACCTGGTTTTGAAGCTCTGTTACTAGACACATATATGTTGAGGATTAAATACTCATTATGAAATCATTATGAAATGACCTTCTTTTTCACCAGTAATTTTTTTAACAAAATTTACTTTATCTGGCATTGATTCAGCCACATCAATTTTTTTTGGATTACTAGTAGCAGCCTATCTCTTTTTGCATCTTTTTACTTTCAACCTATGTGCACCTTTATTTAAAGTTTCTTTTGATCAATGTATAGTTATGTCTTACTTTTTTACACAATATTACAATACCTGATAATTAGGAATGATTAGATCATTTGAGTTTGTTGTAATTACTGATAAAGCTGGATTGAAATCTGCTGTCCAGCCACTTCTGCTTATGTGTTTGACCTACCCTTTGTTTACTTCTTTTTCTACTTTTGTTAGGATTGAATATTTTTAAAATGTCATTTCATCTCATTCATTGGTTTATTTGGTGGTTTCCTTCCTTCCTTCCTTCTTTTTTTTTTTTTTTTTTTTTTTTTTTTTGACATACTCCCAGGCTGGAGTGCAGTGGCATTATCTCAGCTCACGGCAACCTTTTACCTCCTGAGTTCAAGTAATTCTTGTGCCTCAGCCACCCAAGTAGCTGAAATTACAGGCCATCAAACCCGGCTAATTTTTGTATTTTTAGTAGAGACAGGGTTTTACCATGTTGGCCAAGCTGGTCTCGAACGCTTGACCTCAAGTGATCCACCCGCCTCGGCCTCCCAAAGTGCTGGGATTACAGGAGTGAGTCACCGCATCAGGCCTATTCTTTTCTTTCTTTAGGGGGGAAGGTTGCTGTAGGATTTACAGTATATACCTTTAAGTTATAGCCTACCTTCCAGTAATATAATACCATTTCATGTAGAATGTAAGTATGCAACAATATTTATCAAGTTCCCCTCTTCCAGACTTTGTGTATTATTGTCATATGTCTTACTTCCACATTTGTTATGAACCCAATAGTATATTGATATTATTTTTCTTTAGTCGTATGCCTTACTTCCACATTTGTTATGAACCCAATAATATATTGATATTATTTCTCTTTAGTCAATTGACCTTTTAAGATGACTTAAAAATAAGAAAAAGAATTGATATTTACTGACATATCATTATTACAATTCCCTATGTTCTTCATTCATAGCTATACATATAGATTCCATCTGTTATCATGTTTCTTCTAGCTGAAGGACCTCCTTTAACATACTTTGGAACTGCTGGTGATGAATTTTTTCAGCTTTTGTGTGTCTGAAAAAGTTTTGGTCCATTGTCTTCTTGCTTCCATTATTAAAAAAAAAAAAAAGGCTGGGTGCAGCGTAATCCCAACACTTTGGGATCCTGAGGCAGGTGGATCACGAGGTCAGGAGTTTGAGACTAGCTTGGCAAACATGGTGAAACTCCGACTCTATCTGCTACTGTTCCTCTGTACATAATGGTTCTTTTTACACTGAGGATGTTTTGATTTTTTTTCTTTTTCTCTGCATTTTTTAAGTAATTTAATGATGCTTTCTGCAGGTTTATATTACTTAGATTTTAATGAGCTTCCTGAATCTTTGAGTTTATAATTTCTATCAACATTTAAAAAAATTTAGACATTATTTCTTCATATCATTTACCTGTCCCTATTCCGTGTTTTTGATGACTGCAATTTACATGCATAGTAGGCAGCTTATTACTTAATGTTGTCTTACATCTCACTGATAATCTCTTGTCTTTTTCATGTCTTTTTCTGTTTCATTTTAGATATTTTCTATTGCTAAATCTTTAAATACATTTATCTTTTCTGTGGTATTAACAAATATGCTATTGATTTCATTGTGCATATTTTAAAACTCAATTTTTTGTTTGTTTGTTTTTTGAGACGGAGTCTGTCACCCAGGCTGGAGTGCAATGGCAAGATCTCCGCGCACTGCAACCTCCGCCTCCTGGGTTCAAGGGATTCTCCTGCCTCAGACTCCTGAGTAGCTGGGATTACAGGTATGTGCCACCTCGCCCAGCTAATTTTGTATTTTTAGTAGAGACAGGGTTTCTCCATGTTGGTCAGGCTGGTCTTGAACTCCCGACCTCAGGTGATCTGCCTGCCTTGGCCTCCCAAAGTGCTGGGATTACAGGCATGAGCCACAACGCCTGGCTAAATCTCAAATATTACAGTTTTCATCTACAGGAGATTATTTTGGATCTTTAAGTCTTCCATTCCTCTCTTTAACTTATTTAAGTTTTCATCTTCTTTCTTGAAAACACAAAACATATTTATATAGTTTAATGTTCTTCTCTACTAAATCTTTCATCTCCATTATTTCTCAATTGGTTGTAGTTAATTATCTTTCCCTGTCACTGTGGGTTATAAATTATTATTTCTAAGCATGTCTGATAATTCTTGTTGTATGTCAACAATTTTTAATTTTGTTATTGGATGCCGAATTTTTTTTTTTTTTTTTTTTTGAGATGGAGTCTCACTCTATCACCCAGGCTGGAATGCAGTGGTGCAATCTCAGCTTACTGCAACCTCCACCTCCCTGGTTCAAGCAATCCCCCGCCTCAGCCTCCCAAGTAGCTGGGATTACAGGTGCATGCCACCATGTTCGGATAATTTTTTTTTTTTTTTTGTATTTTTAGTAGAGACGGGGTTTCACCATGTTGGCCAGATCAAAATATGATTATTAGAGTTTGTTCTAGAACACAGTTATTTGGAAGAACTTTGAGCTTTCTAATTGTTTGAATTCAAGCTTTGTTAGGCAAGACCAGAGAAGCCTTAGTCTAAGGCTAATGTTCCCCCACTACTGAGGCAATGCCCCGCTGCATATTCTACCTGATGCTCATGTCTTATGAAGTTTTTCCTCTCTGACTGGTGGGAACATAAAATATTTCTGGCTTCTTGTGATCTTTTGGAATTGTTCCTCTTGCTTTCTTAGGTAGTTATTTCCCCAGTACTGGTAGTTTCCTCTCCCTCATCCTCTGATTAGTCCTCTGATGAAGACTAACATGAAGACTAATTCTGCAGATCATAAGAGCTTTCTCACTCCACAGTGTACTCCTTTTGGTACTCTGTCCTATGAACTCTAGCTGGATGGGCCACAACAGACTCCAGCCTCTATTGCTTCCACTCAGGGAGACTCTGGGACCCACCTAAGGTCTCCCTCCTTACCATACAGCCTGGAAACTGTCTCCAACAGTAAACTGGGGCAATCACAGGGCTTACCTCATTTGTTTCCCTAACCTCAGGGTTTAGTATTCAATGCTGACTTTTGTCCAGTGGAATTGCACTTTCAAACACTTTGTTCAATTTGTTGTAGTTTTTTAAAGGGTGAGAATGGGTCTGTTCCCTGTTATTCTGGTTTGGTTGGAAACAGAAGTCTCTAGTTATCCATTCAAACAAAAATTGATATCACAACCGAATTTATTGTTTGTTTATTTATTTTTGAGACTGCATCTCACTCTGTTGCCCAGGCTGGAGTGCAGGGGCATGATCCCAGTTCACTTCAGACTCCACTTCCTGGGCTCAGGTGATACTCCCATCTCAACCTCCTGAGTAGCTTGGACTACAGGTGTGCACCACCACATCTGGCTAGTATTTGTTTTTTTGTTTGTTTTTTTTTTCTTGTAGAGATGGGGTTTTACTATGTTGCCCAGGTTGATCTCTAACTCTTGGGCTCAAGCAATCTGCCAGCCTTGGCCTCCCAAAGTGTTAGGATTATAAGCGTGAACCACCGTGCCCAGCCCACAATCTATTTTATACAAGTTACAATTCATTTAGCTGGAGCACAGTGTTGAAACAAACAGACCACATTTTTACAATCATGTGGTCTCCATTCTAGTGGAGTCTTATAGTTAGTAAATCAGATAAGCAAATATGCATAAAAATATCTTAGGGGGTTTAAGAGTTGTGAATAAAATAGAAGATGTTACATGATTGATATGGTTTGGCTGTGTCCCCACCCAAATCTCGAATTGTAGTCCCATAATTCCTCTCTGTCGTGAAAGAGTGGTTTATTACCTGGTGGGAGGTAATAAAATCATGGGGGCGGGTCTTTCCCATTCTCTTCTTGTGGTAGTGGATAAGTCTCATGAGATCTGATGGTTTTATAAAGGGAAGTTCCCCTGCACATGCTCTCTCTCTTGCCTGCTACCATGTAAGATGTGACTTTGATCCTCACTAACCTTCTGCCATGATTGTGAGGCCTCCCCAACCATGAGGAACTGTGAGTCAATCCAAACCCTTTCCCTTATAAATACCCAGTCTGGGGTATGTCTTTATTAGCAACGTGCGAACAGACTAATACAGTGATAGAGAATAACAGAATAGTCTATTTTAGTTAGGTTGATTAACAAATCTCTCAAGGGTTGGCATATGAATATCTATGATGAAAAACTAGCCATGAAAAGACCTGGAATAAGTACATTTGAGGCAGAGGGAAGTGCAAACATGAAGGACTGAAGTCAGAAACAAAGCTTTTCCCACCAAGAAGGAGGATTTGATGCTAGATAGTAGTCTTCTATACATTTCTGTCTCCATTATGTGGTATGGAGAGGCAAAATATAAAAGCTCAGTAACATGGTTTATTGTTAATCATGGATGAAAGTCCAAAGCAAACATTTGACACTATAGAGATTACTTTTAATAACTCCACCAACTTAACATGAGGCTAGAAAACTGAATAAAGTTTTTAAAATCCTTTTCTGTTATAATCAGTCAGGGTAAACCAGTTTTTGTTTTAGTAACAAAAACAATAACAATAACAAAATCCAACCAAACAATCAAAACAATTTCTTGTTAACACAGATTCATCAGACCTTAACCTACATTGGAGTTAACAGTTGATAAAAGGGCTCAATTCATTGTAGTTACTTAGGATCTCAGGGTGACAAAAGTTCACCTTGACTGATGCTTTCATAATCATTTTCTAATGGACAAGAATATATGGCAAGTAACACACTGTATTCAAAAGTTTCAAGAAATGATTCATATTGTTTCCACTCATATTATGTTTATAAAAACATATTAATATAGCACACCTAACTTTGAAAGGGTAGAGAAGGATGGGCATGGTGGTTCATGCCTGTAATCCCAACAATTTGTGGGGCATAAGTGCATAGGTTTCTTGAGCCCAGGAGTTTGAGACCAGCCTGGCTAACATGGTGAAATCCCATCTCTACAAAAAATACAAAATTAGCTAGGTATGGTGGTGTGAACCTGTGGTCCCAGCTAGGTGGGAGAATAAGGTGAGATCACCTGAGCTCAGGTAGGTCTAGGCTGTAGTGAGCAATGACCATTCCACTGCACTCCAGCCTGGGCAACAGAGTGTGACTCTGTCTCAAAAAAAAAAAAAAAAAAAAAAGTAGAAAAGAAGAAAGAGTAGGGAAGCGCAATTCTACCGTGTGTGGAAAGCAGACAGAAAGAAATATTTTATTATATTGCTAATGAAGGCCACACCCTCTATCAAGGAATCTGTATATTCATGCCTCAAATAAAACTAGAAATTTTCCCTTATTTAATCAAATTCAGTATGAAAGCACTATTCATGGAATAGAAGATCAAGTATTAGGCACACACTCACTTATATTCTGAATTTTCTTTACTGTCTTCGAATTCCAATCAGTAAAGCTTTTTTTTTCCTATAAGAAAGATAATTTAAAAGTGGTAACTTACTCCAAGAAAAGTTTCAGCAGCTTTGAGAACAAAGTTCTACATTTAAAAGCTATCTCTTACTTTGAGAAGCAACCTTTACAAGAAGGCAGTATTAAAAAGTTTCAGGATTCTATTGTAAATTGAACTGCTTCCATGAGAATACCCATCTGAGAGAAAAGACAAAATGGATCTGGGGAATAATTAAAAACTGAAGTAGACAAAAAAATGTCATTTTCCCTAGTACTGTCTCCAACTACTACAGTCCAGGGTAACTTCACGTTTACTTCTCCTCAAGAAAGAAAGAAAAAGAAAAAATATATGCACTTAAATCCAGGAACCTAGCTATGATGTTAGGAACTTTTATGTATGTAGATAATGGCATTTTTTAGCTTTCCTGTGTTTTGATTATATATATATATATATATGTATATATACACACATATATATATTTCATTTATATATTCATTTTATATATAAAATATTCATTTATATGTATAAATATATATGCATATATATATGAATATATATAAAAGAATATATAAATAAACATATATATATATATTCTTCCTAGAATGATGGTTATTTCTCATCTGGGAGAACCCTCCACCATCTACCCTCCTCAGACCACTCCAGGCCTTGGGTAGTTGTCTTACATCAGGTTTTTCAAGGCTGTAGAGAGTAACGTATGCTTTTTCTTGGCATTCTTTTCATTGGATCTCATTTTGTAGCTTCTCCTTACCATAAGAAAGGGGCCAAATAAATCCTTTCATTTGACTCAATTGAGAAGTTTGGCCAAATGAGTACAAGTAGATAACAAGCATCTTACAAAGTCTAACTCTTACAATTACATGCACCAAGGCTTGGGGAGATTACTCAAGGTTTTTGACATCAAATACTAGTAATTTTAAACAGGGAGTTCAATGTTCTTAGAGATTTTCATGCAGTTACTTCTAATTCAAAAGCACAACATAAGTTGAAGTTGTGTCAGATGAGGGAAGTGGGAGAGCTTTTGGTCTTCATCAGTATCATGAATATTAGATATGAATTCTAATTTAATTATACTTCTGGCTCTTTCTTTGATAATTCAAATAGCCCTGTCATGTTGAACCAATAAAAGTACATATGCTAATATATAACTTCATGAGCTACGATAAACCAGTAGGAAATATTTGCCTTTGCCTCAAGAAGATTGAGTTATGTCTGCGTACACACAAACACAAACTTTTGCATCCACCCATATAAGAAGAGGTTCATTCTTCTATATAACCATGAACACTCATAGGGAATGGTGCTCATTACTTTGGTAATGCTCATTCAGTCACCTTCCATCAAATGCAGTTTCCAGAAGAATATGTAAATTATATTGTATTGTCCTTCACTTTCAGCTTCAAAACTAGTGCTTGTGAAAAACTGTGATGGCTTGAATGACTCAAGGTCTGTACACCACAAAAGTGTACTTTTCGTCCTGGTGAGGAGAAAAAGCCTCTTCTGTATGGCTTCCTTGATCATCCTGTGGTGTGACTGTGGAAATAATTTGGGGCACCTTTTATCTGCCTTTGTTTTGTCCAGACAATTAGCTAGGCAACTGTTTTCCCTCAGCTAATTCTAAAGACTCCATCCGATCTTATGCTCCAAAAGCTTATTACTGACAAAACCTTTTCTTCCAAGGTCAATTTTTGGTGCTATGATTGCCATCTTCCCATTATATTTAAGTGATAGAAAGGTAGATTTTTCTTATCAAAATTTAGCCAATAATTTCTACTGGAAGTATAAAGCATTTAGAATTCTCTGTGATATAGTAGAACAAGAAATTCTAAGCATACCACTGCTTTTGGGGACATTTCAAACTAAAGAGGAATTGGAAAAAAATTTCACAGGTTAGAATATGTGATTTTCACATAGTTTTGGTGTTAATGTTTGAAAAATCTGAGAAAAGATCCCCCACACATACACACCCTCAACAGGTATAAGTAGCTAAGTCTCCATCAGTTACAAATAATATCCTCTATCAACGTTATATTTTTTATGCCAGAACAATTTCTCACTGGTTTGGTTATTTTGAGGCTTTTTATAAGTATGAGTATAAGCCAACTGAGTCATTATATTTATATGATCATTAAACTAGGAGTCTCTAAGGGTGAATAGCTGTGAGACACTAGGCAAATCTCTCTCATTTCCTTATCAAAAGCTAACTGCCTGTAATGAACTATTTACATCACAGGCTTATGGTAGGAATCAAATATGATGATGCATATAAAAGATTTATTATACCATTATAAATGTTACAAAATACCATTATAAATATTGCTATTAATATTATGACAAAAATAATATGCAAATTATTATTACTAACAGGACCATTTTCACACTGAAGTAAACTGTATGAATAAACCTAAAGTATAGCAAACTTATTTGGGAATCTGAGCAAAAATATTCCATAACTACCATAGTGGATAGCCAGGATAAGAACCAGAGTTAGAAATAACTAGGCCATCCCAGTGTATCAAGAATATCTAAAAATTGTTATCATGAAACTATTTTTTTGAATGTGATAATCATAAAAAGCCCAACATTGTAATAGTTCTTTTTTTTTTTTTTTTTTTTTTTTTTTTTTACCAAGACTTAACTGAATCTTTTCTCTAGATTCTGTTCTGATTCGATGTACAAGAATCTGTCCACATGAGAATAGTTGAGGTCAACTGTATCAAAATATTACATCAGCTTGATCCAGGTTGACCTCACTGTGTATGTGTGTTTGTGTATTGTGTGGGTTATAATACAGTCTCAAGCGTAAATACTGATCCCAAACTGGAAGTCATTGCAAACCTTCTTTGGGAAGTTTTAACAAATATACCATTTTGTCAGAATGTATTTCAGTTGTACAATCATCCCTTGGTATCCGTCGGGGAATCATTTCGGGACCTCCTGTGAATATCAAAATCTGAAAATGCTCAATTACTTAATATAAAATGATTCAGTATTTGCATATAGCCTACACAAATCCTCTAATATACAGTAAGTCCTCACTTTGACAGGTTCTTGGAAACTGACTTTAAGTTAAATGGCATATAAAACAAATTTCACCATAGGCCAATTGATGTAAACAAGAGTAAAGGTCTTATAGCATATTTCTAGTCACAAGATCATCACCAAGCTTCTAAACAAAGACCCAAAACACTAGCAGTATTAAACACTGAAATAAATGATCACTAAACACACATTTAAGAAAGATCAGTCCAGCTCAGTGAGTCATACATGTAATCCTAGCACTCTGGGGGCTGAGGCAGGAGGATCGCTTGAGGCCAGGAATTTGTTACCAGCCTGGGCAACATAGTGAAACTCCATCTCTACAAAAAAAAAAATAAATAAATAACTGAGCATGGTGGTACATGCCTGTAGTCCTAGCTACTCAAGAGGCTGAGGTGGGAGGATTGCTTGAACCCAGGAGGTCAAGGCTGCAATGAGCTGTGATCATGCTGCTGTACTCCAGCCTGGGCAACAGAGTAAGACCCTGTCTTAAAGGAAAAAAAGAAAGAAAGAGGAATAAAAAGTAAGATACTTGTTTACTCAATTTTGAGTGAATCAGTGAGTAACAGCAGTTGTAGTGGTGGTGGGTTAAACCAAGTAATCAATGCTTGCAGAGTGAAAATTGAAAAGATCGCCTTTTCCCACGAAACAGTTCAAAAACAACCACAAATATGGCAAGCTTGCTGATTTTGTGCCACATTTTTTTATTTTTGTACATTTGTATGGTTATTATCTACTTTACAAATTTTTATTTGACAATAATTTGTATCCATTTATTCGTTTTTCAACCTGCTTATTTCAGTTCAGAGTCTTGGCTGGCCAGAGCCTGTCCTGGCAGCTCAGGGAGCAAAGAGAAAACCCACCCTAGACCAGACACTATTCCACTGCAGGGAGCACTCACATCCACACTCACACACCTTCCCCTAACACAGTACAACCATTCAGATATGGCAAGTATCCTAATGTGCACATTTTGGAGCAGAAACTTGAGTACCCAGAGAAAACCCAGGCAGACTTGGGGAAAATGTACACTGTACACGGAAAGTGGGGCTAGCCAGGAAGCAATTATTATTTTTCTCATCAACATTATAATGAAATGATGCTGAAGGAAATTACATTACTCAAAGGCCTGCTGTGCTTTAAATAATTTCTAGATTACTTATAAGACCTAATACAATGTAAATGTTATGTAAATCATTGTTATACTATATTGTTTAGGGAATAATGACAAGAAAAGCCATGTGCAGACTCAACCATCGGAGACCTAACTACATTTTCGATCCAGGTTGGTTTTACTCGAGGTTGGTTGAATCCATGTATGTGGAACACAGAGATAGAATGCAGCCTCTTGTTAGATTACATCAACTGGAATCATTTCTCATTTCCCGTTACTCCAAAAGGGAGAGGCAGTTTCACAAAGTTTAATTTTTCCTATCCAATTTTATTGGATATCTACCATATCCATCAGATACTATGTAAAATGATGAAAATTCAGATATGGGTATGATAGAATTTCTGCTTTTAAGAAGCTTCAAATCAAGAAGGAAAATTTTGTATCAAATAATTATTGACAGGAAAACAGGTGATTACTCTTTGAAATTGGTCAATGCTTTCCAGTTTTTATTAGCAACAATGTCAGATTATTTACATTCTCCCTCCTTGGGGGCAATTAATGCATGTCTCTAAATGAGTAAAAGTTTTCCTAGGAGTACATTAACAATTGAAAATTAAAATGGCTTAAGTGAGGTCTTTTTCTCTTGTGTCTACAAGAGTCAGAACAACATATGTGCATGTGTGTATATATATATTTTTATATATGTATATTTATTTATAGCTGGGAGTAAAAAAGAGGAGACATTTATTCATTCTCTTCTTCATCTCTATATGTTTCTTTTTCTGCCTCTCTTTCTTTATTTCACTATTTATAACTTACTCTTCTTATTTATTTATTTATTTATTTATTTATTTATTCTTCCATCAAATATTTACTGAGTGATAGTCTATGGGTAAACAGGATGTACTAGGTAGAAAAGATCTTAAACCTCCTAGAAAACTCTACTTAGAGTATATTACAGGTGAATATGTTGATGGATAGCATAAACTCTAGTGTGAAACTTCAAGAGTTTGATTCCCATCTCTACCACTTAGCAACTATGTGAATTTGGGCAAGTTACTTATTCTCTTTATTCCCTAGTTTTCTCATCAAGAATATGACAATTATAATAGTATCTACTTAAAAGAACTGTGATGATGTTAAACTTCACCTGAGCCCTATGCCATTAGAAAGCTGCAGTGGTTAAGAAATCTTTCCATCCTTTCATGCTAATCTCAAAGGACCCTGCTCTCCATATTCTGAGATAAGACAGATCTCCATCCTTCCTTATAGCTCCAATAGGACTCCTGGATGACTTTCTTTTCTTAACTTAGTCTGATCATTTGTTGATCCTTGTAATGAGATTAATGATTTAGAGAGAGCATGTCTTTGTTGGGTGCAAAGAAGACAAAGAAGTTGGTTTGTTAGTCTGTGCTGTTTATTGATGTATCTATTTTGAGTCCAAATTATTAAGAATGTACACCCACTGAGTAGAGACTGGGTCTTTGATATGGACCTGTGAATTGTGTATTTGTGTGTTTATGCTTGACTCATGGCTGCAATTATATAATTGAGACTATAAGCTATCTGTATCTGTCCATATGTTTATATGTCTATAATTCAAAAAAGTCTTTCACTTCAACTATGTGAATATACAATAAATTTCTTACCTCTGGATAGTACTAATTAATTAGTACTATTACTACTATTTGAAATTCCTTACATTAAAGAAGTTCTATCATGATTGGCTTAGGGATGAAGAAGCCTCTATACAATTGGCCAATCCTAATATTACCAGAAATTAAGAAAACAATCTCAAAGAATTTCAAGGTGAAAAAAAGAGATATTCTTAGAGAAACTAATTCAAAAATATTTCAAGAATATTCACATAATTTAGGTAAAATGTCAGCAAATAAGACTAGTTTAATAATTTTGGTTTAATACAAATAATTATGTTTTCTCTAAATTGTCATTATTATCAGTATAATGCAAGTATACGGTATTCGTCCATTTTCATACTACTATAAAGAACTGTCCAAGACTGGGTAATTTATAAAGGAAAGAGGCTTAATTGACTCACAGTTCAGCATGAATGGTGAGGCCTCAGGAAACTTAGAATCATGCCCGAAGGCAAAGGGGAAGCAAGGCGTCTTCTTCATAAGGCAGCAGGAAGGAGAAGTGCTGAGCAAAGAGAGAAGAGCTCCTTATAAAAACCATTAGATCTTGTGAGAACTCACTCACTATCAAGAGAACAGCATGAGGGAAACTGCCCCCATGATACAGTTACCTCCACCTAGTCTCTCTCTCAACACATGGGAATTATGGGGATTATAATTTAAGATGAGATATTGGCCAGGAACACAAAGCCTAACCATATCATATACTTTTTTTTTTTTTTTTTTTTTTTTTTGAGACGGAGTCTCGCTTTGTCGCCCAGGCTGGAGTGCAGTGGCGCGATCTCGGCTCACTGCAAGCTCCGCCTCCCGGGTTCATGCCATTCTCCTGCCTCAGCCTCCCGAGTAGCTGGGACTACAGGTGCCTGCCACCATGCCCAGCTAATTTGTTTTTGTATTTTTAGTAGAGATGGGGTTTCACCGTGTTAGCCAAGATGGTCTCGATCTCCTGAACTCGTGATCCGCCTGCTTCAGCCTCCCAAAGTGCTGGGATTACAGGCATGAGCCACCGCGCCTGGCCCATGTACATTTTTATTCTACTTCGGTATGTTATTTTTAAGCTTATAGGTTTACTGATCATATAAGCTAGTATTATTTCTACTTAAGGTATAATATTACAAAAAATTACTTTGGGTTTAACAAAATTGAGTAATTATTCTAACAAACTGTATTTCAACAGTAATTATATTTTCTGGTAAGTAAGTTTGAAGAGAATTTCCAAGATCTTTAGATAATTTGAAACCTTCGACTGTTACTAAATTGAGATAATTAATGGGCGTTCATTAAGTATCCAGATAGAAGATTCAGTAGGTATCTAGGTAGAATTTCAAAGACAGAAATACTAAAACATTAGTCATAAAGAATAATTGTAAGTTCATATTTTTTTGCCTCATATTAATATGGTGCCAAGAGACTATACATATTTGTGTTAATAAATGTGTTCATTTTTGCCATTTTGAGAAATTATACTACAAGAAAGTATTTTTGTTAAAGAAAAAAGAGAGTATAGCTTTGTCTTAAAGTAAAATGACTGTTACAGAATGAGGAGGAGGGAAGTTTAAGAAAAAAAATTTTAATGTATAAACTTGTAAAAAGGTCAAGAAAAGGGAATTTGTATTCGTCAATGCATATTTTCAAAAAAAGTTTGTGTTTTCTTTTTTTCTTTTTAATATACTGGTCTTTTTAAGAGGTTCTAAAAGTTTTATTTTTTTTTTCTGAATAATCTGCCTGAAAAATGAAAACTGTTTCTTCTCAGAATAAGTTTTTATGTTTTAATCTTGATTTTATCATGTCCTTGACTTTTTAAGATAACCAATACTCTCACTTTTGAAATAACTAATATATTTAACAATTATATTACCACCTATATTTACTTTTAAAATATTACCTTGTCACTTTAAATAAAAGTCAAGTATTGTTTCTCACTGAACTGTGATCCTACATTAATCAAATCTCCTGACAATTTTGATATTTCCCCTTTTCTTTCTTTCTTTTTATCTTTTTTTTTTTTTTTTTTTTTTTTTTGCAGTTGCAAGATTTAATAGAGTGAAAACAGAGCTCCCATACAAAGGGAGGGGACCCAAAGTGGGTTGCCATTGCCAGCTCGAATGCCTGGGTTTATACCCCGATCATTGTCCCTCCCGCTGTGCTCAGGCATTAGATGATTGGCTATTTCTTTACCTCCTGTTTTTGCCTATTCCCTTTTCAGAACTAAATCTTAAATGATAGATTTTGCCCCTCAAACTGCCATTGAGACAAAGAAGATAGAGGGTGATATGATAGTATGTGGAGGACATTTTTTTTTGAGACGGAGTCTGGCTCTGTTGCCTGGGCTGGAGTGCAGTGGCACAATCTCAGCTCACTGCAAGCTCCGCCTCCTGGGTTCACTGCATTCTCCCGCCTCAGCCTCCCAAGTAGCTGGGACTACAGGTGCCCGCCACCATGCCAGGCTAATTTTTTTGTATTTTTAGTAGAGACGAGGTTTCACCGTGTTAGCCAGGATGGTCTCAATCTCCTGACCTCGTGACCCGCCCACCTCGGCCTCCCAAAGTGCTGAGATTACAGGCGTGAGCCACCAAACCCGGCCTGTGGAGGACATATTTTTAAGGACAGAGTTTAGAAGAGTCATTCAGCCTTGCTACCTGCACCCTACACTGTAATACATGGCAGCCTGCTTGGTTTTAACAACAGGTAAAAGAAACATTGCCTTGTGCTCTCAAGCAGTTCTCCACCCTAAATTATAAGATCCCATTAAAGTATAGGTTTTACTCATGAAAAAGATGCTCTGTTGTATTTGAAAGATTTAAAATATTTATCTCCATCTGCATGAACATGCCCCCTCTTTTTTTCCCCTTTGTGAACTTTTAAGGTGCTCATCCAGGAATAAGTGGGATGCTAGAGTGATTTTTCTCTCCATAACTCTGCCCGACTCAGTCCTTATCTTTCTTCAGTCTCTATTTAATCTTTATTTTATTAGATCTTGCCCAATCACTCTACACAAAATGGCAATCCCTCCTTCTATGTGACTTTCCTCCCACCACCACATATGTACCCAATGCTTATCTCCTAATCCTTTCTTATTTCCCTGGTACTTACTGCCAGCTTACATGTTATGTATTTATTTGTTTTATGTTTATTCTGAAACTTTTCTCACTGGAACATAAGCTCTTTGAGAGGAGGGACATTTGTATATTTGAGTCCCTGCTATGTACCCAGCTTGTAGAACAGAAACTGGCAAATTATAGGCACTTAGTAAATACTGGTTGAATCAATTAAAGATTAACTCCCCATTAGAGGATACTACACTTAGGACTATATGAGAATATATGAAACACACCTCTTGCCTTCAGAAAAGAAGTGGAACAACGAAACCATTAAAGTTCAGAATTTAGAGGGCTGAAATCTGGAGAGGTAAGGAAATGGGTCATAGATGTACCCGTGCATGGATGGAAGGACTTTGAGGATATGACAAAATAAGAGGGGAATGGTAGGAAATAATGTAGCAGATTTAAGAAATGATGTAATCATAGTGCAATAGAAGGTCTGGCTATTTATTTATTTATTTATTGAATATTCACTGCATAATCACCACTGTGCTAAGCTTAGAAATGATGAAGTCTACCCTTGATTTCACAGACTAGTGGGAGAAACAGACAAGAAAATAGATGTTAACGCTTTAGCGATAAGTGCTATAATAGATTATAAAAATGCATAAATATTGCTATTATAACACCTTATAACTGAATTCCCTCTGGGGAAGAACTTGACCTAGGGGAGTTGTGTTGATATGCTGCTTAGGATAATGCATGATGCGTTTGAGTTGCATTCATATTGTTTTATGTATCAACAGTTAATTCCTTTTTACTGCTGAGTAGTATTCCATTGTGTGGATGTACCATAGTTTCCTTATCCACTAACCACTAGATTTGGGTTGCTTCTACTTTTTAACAATTATTAATAAAGCCACCATCAGTATCTGAATGTGAGTTGTTATGTGAACATAAATTTGGATTTCTCTTGAGTAAATATTAATATGTTAACATAAGTTTATGTTTAACTATGTGAAATGCTGCCAAACTGTTTCCCATCTTCAGAGAATAAATTTCTGGTTTTTGGTTTTATTTCTCAGCCACCCTTATATGGTTTGGCTGTGTCTCCACCCAAATCTCATCTTGATTTGTAGCTCCCATAATTGCCACATGTTGTGGGAGGAACCCAGTAGGAGATAATTGAATCATGGAGGCGGTTCCCCCATACTGTTCTCGTGGTAGTGAATAAGTCTCATGAAATCTGACGTTTTATAAGGTGTTTTCCCTTTTGCTTGGCTCTCATTCTCTCTTGCCTGCTACGAGGTATGACATGCCTTTTGCCTTCTGCCACGATTGTGAGGCCTCCCCAGTCACGTGGAACTGTGAGTCCATTAAACCTCGTTTTCTTTATAAATTTCACAGTCTCAAGTATGTCTTTATCAGCAGCATGAAAACGAACTAATACACACCCAGTTTGTGGCAATTTGTGATGGCAGTCTTAGGAAACTAATCCACCTAATAATGATATTAAACACTTTTACATATGCTTGCAATCTGAGTATCTTCTTTGGTGAAATGTCTCTATAGTTCTGCTTTTTTGTGTTTT
Source organism: Homo sapiens (assembly GCF_000001405.40). NCBI lineage: Eukaryota > Metazoa > Chordata > Mammalia > Primates > Hominidae > Homo > Homo sapiens. The sequence continues at coordinate 41,480,128 of NC_000011.10, forward strand.
CAAATAACTTGGATTGCTTGTTATTATTGGATTTTAAAATTCTGTATAGTTTCAGACACAAATTCTTTATCAGCTATATAATTTTAAAACCTTGTCTTCCAGTCTGTGACTTGTCTTTTTACTTTTTCAATGGTATTTTTCACCGATTATGTTTAAATTTGAATATAATTTAATTATCTTATTTTTTTCTTTTTTGAACAGCGATTTTGGTGACTTATCTAAGAATATGTTGGGCAATCTAAAAATCATACAGATTTTCTCTTTTGTTTTCTTACAGAAGTTTTGTGGTTTTAGGTTTTACAGTGAAAGGTGTTATACGTGTTGAGTTAGTATTTTGAAAGGTCTGAAGTATGAGTTGAGGTTAATTTTTTTTTCTTGCTTAGAGTCATCCAGTTTTTCTAGCATCATTTGTTGAAAAGATTATCTTTTTTCTTTGAATTATTTTAGCACCTTTGTCAAAAATCAGTTGTGTATATATATATGAATATACTCCATTTTTCTACATATCAATCCTTCCACAAAAAACACAATTATGATTACTGTAGCTTTATATATAATAAGTTTGAAGTCACTTAAAGCGAGTCTTATAGCATTATTCCTCATTTTCAGAATGGTTTGACTATTCTATTTCCTTTGACATCTAAGTATATTTTATAATTAGCTTGTTGATTTCTATTTAAAAATCCTGCTAGAATTTTGTTCAAAATTGCATTAAATCTATAAATCAACAAAGGGAGAACTGATATCTTAGTAATGAACATAGTATATCTTTCTAATTATTTCAGTCTTAGCCCTTTCGTTAGTGCTTTGTCATTTTCAGTATAACTTCCTAACTGCGATTTTAAGCAAAATGATGTATAACAACTCTTTTTTTTCTCATCAACATCATAATGAAACATTGAAGAAAACAATGTTATTTCAGAACCTGCTGTACATTGTTTTATTTAAAGTCACTTTCACCAAGAACCTATTGACAATGTTAAGTGAGGACTTACTGTAAACAAGTTTTGCACTTAATTTTAAAGCTTTATACCTATTTCATGTTGTTTATACATTTTTAATGTTGTTTGGTGCTATGATAAAAAAACACTACTTTTAAATATTGATTTCTATTTATTTAATGCTAGTATATAGGAAGACAATTGATTTTGGTATAATTTTGTTCCACAATCACAAAAGCTTACTTACTAGTTCTAAGATAAGTTTTTTAGGGTCTTTGAGATTTTCTACACAGATAATCATATCATCTACAAAAGAAGTATTTTTATTCCTTCATTTTTTCACCCGTATGCCTTTGATTTATTTTCCTTGTTTTATTGCAATCACTAGTATTCCAGTATTATGTTGAATAGGAGTGACAGGAGCTGCCACCCTTGCCCTGTTCCTGATCTTTGTAGAATGAATTCAGTTCTCACTATGTGTATAGTTTTATAGATAACCTTTATTACATTAAAGATGTTATTTTCTTTTGCTAATTTTCTGAGAATTATCATTTCTTATATATTTTTAATATAATTTTTCTGCACTTAGTATTTACTCATCTATTGTCTTTTTGCTTATATTTTATGGTATTACTTTTTTTTCTTAGTGGTTGCACCAGAGACTACAATGTATACAGCTCCCCCTTTTACTGTATGTATGTAGAGGTAACATTTTACTACACCAATAAAATTTAGAAATCTTACTACAAGTATTTAGGTTCCTCCTTTATCTTGTAGTTGCCATACATACACATACAAACTTGACTTCACTGGACGCTGCAATAATTTTTGCTTTCAATAGTCATATGTATTTTATAGAATTCAGGGGAGAAATTTGTCTTTTATATTAACCCAGATAGTCACTATTTTTCATGCTCTTTCTTCATTTCCAAACTTTGAAGTTTCTGTTTAGTGTAATTTCCCATCAGCCTGGAAAACTTCCTTCAGCATTTCTTTTAGAGCAGATTTGCTGGTGACAAATTCTCTGTTTCCTTTCATCTGTGAATGTTTCTATTTCATCTTCTTTCATGAAGGACATTTTCAATGTATATAGAAGTTTTTGTTGATAGCTTTTTTCTCTTAGCATTTTAAATTTGTTGTTTCACTGTCTTATGGCCTACATGGTTTCTGACAAGAAATAGAAAGTGATTTACATTTTGTTCCCCCTATGTAATATGTTAGTTTTCTCCATTTGCTTTCAAGATGTTTTCTTTATCTTTGGTTTTCATCAGTTACATTGATATGTGTCTGGATGGTCTTTTAGTTTTTAATTTATTTGGGGATGGGGAGTTCAGGGTTGTTGAATCTGTAAGTGTATAATTTTTCAGATTTAAACATTTATTTTAGTCTATCTTTAAGTCCACTGACGTTTTCCTCTGTCATCTTCATTCTGCTATTGAGCTCTTTTAGTGAAAAATTTATTTCAGATATTTCATTTTTTCGTTCTAATTTTTTTTTTTTTTTTTTTGAGACGGAGTCTCACTCTGTTGCCAGGCTGGAGTGCAGTGACACGATCTCGGCTCACTGCAACCTCTACCTCCCAGGTTCAAGGGATTCTTCTGCCTCAACCTCTTAAGTAGCTGGGATTAAAGGTACATGCCACCACATCCAGCTAATTTTTTGTATTTTTAGTAGAGACGGGGTTTCACCATGTTGGTCTGGCTGGTCGTTAACTCCTGACCTCAGGTGGTCCACCTGCCTGGACCTCCCAAACTGCTGGGATTACAGGCATGAGCCACTGCTCCCGGCCCTACCTGGTTATTTTTTTATAGTTTCTATTTCTTTGCTGAAAACTGTTATCTTTCCATTTATTTCAATTGTGTTTATCTTTATATTACAGAGTATAGCTATAGTAGCTGGTTAAAGTTTTGGTCTAATAATTTCTATTTCTCTACTGAAAATGGTTATCTTTCCATTTATTTCAATTGTGTTTATCTTTATATTATAGAGTATAGCTATAGTAGCTGCCATAAGTTTTTGTCTAATAATTTCAACATCTGGGTCATCTCACAGGTGTCATCTGTTAGTCTTTTCTCTAGATAACCTATAAAATTTTTTCTGGTTCTTTGTATATTGAATCACTGTTAATTGAAAATATGTTATGCTGCATGGATACTAGGTCCTGTTAAAATCCTCTGGAGAATGTAGATTTCTGTTGTTGTTTTGGCTGGCAATCAACACAGTTTGGTTCAAATTTTAACTTCTATATTCCTTCTCTACATGATATTTCTAATGTCAGATTAGTTTTCAAAATCGTTTCTATGCTAGTCTGTGTCTGTCTTACACAAAAAGCTTAGTGTTAAGGCCAGGACTTTTGCAGGTCCATATACAGCCTTATGGGTTCCCATTATACAGATGTCTTCTCTCTGATATTTATCCTCATCCTTCAGGTTTTAGGGATTTCTTGGGGGGAGGGGGTCTCTGTAGCCAAAAACAAGGGATTCTTTCCGTTTTAATGCTCTTTCCACTATTGCCAAAATTCAACTGTGGCCTCTCAAGGGAAAATGAATAAATAAATAAAGCAATGGGGCCTCATGCCTTTTCAGGGCATGTCTTCAGTTTTTGACTCCCCTCCCTAGTCTGCCTGTTTTTGTTGAATGTTTAATAAGTTGCTCTTGAAAAAATTTTGTCTAGGATTATGGGCTGTAATCACCAGGAGAGAATATCTGTAGGGGCTTGCACTATCTTAGCCAGAAAGTTTATATTCCATTTTTTTTAACATATTTGTTTTTATTTCTGTTTAGGGAATAACTAAGTCCACTTTGGAAAAAAGAATACTAAGTGCTCACGAAGGGACCTTGTGAATGATCATGTGCAAAGGTAAGTTGGCACGGCTGACAGGCCCACCTGAGATCCCTGGATTTCTGTTTAGTAGGTTACAGAAAGCTATAGAAGTATTTTCATTGAAATGCCTCAGTGTGGTGGCAGCCCTCAAAATGGTCTTGCTCCTGCCTTTTTTTTTCTTTTTTTAAAAACCATTCTGAAATAGAAGTGAAATAATTTCAAGCTTGCTTCCATATTCTTGTCCTGGCACCAGTCTTATTTCCCCAGAAGGCGTTTCTATTACTGAAAGTGGCATTCAGGCACTGACGACCACACATTTCCTTATTATGCATTGCATAACACAAGAAAAAAGACCAATAAAATTACTGGTCCTACTTATTGTAAGCCAACAGCATTTGGGGCAGCGCTGACTTTATGCTACATGGTTATATCTCTCAGGTAATATGGCCAGAGATTAATTGATGAAGCATTACGTAATGATATCTATGTGTAACAATAAATGTAGTAAGTATTTGGATAAAATGCAAAGCCTTTACACTTTCTCTATTACTTAACTGACTTTTTAGAACAATCTATTGTTAATATAGGTACTTCTGATAAATAACTGTAATATCAGACATTTAATTGGCACCTATTCTAGATGCCTGCCTTAGGCTGTGGTTGCCAGAAATAGACTATGAGACAAAATTTGTATGAAGAAGGTTCACTGAGGAGTGCTCTTAATCAACACCCATGAGGAGTGATAGTAATAGGATTGGCCAGAGGGAGAAGCTGAACAGCAATGTGATTGCTACCAAAGCCCCAGCAATCCCTCAGGGAATTCTGGAGCTAAGATGGCCTTTCAGAGATGTCCCAGATTGAGGCAAGGAGTGGGCTTTTGTACTCTCTTCCAAACTAGTGAGTGGAAGGAGATTGTCCAAAGGGACTAAGTGTAACCTAGAACAAGGGGGTTTTCTTTGGCAGAGGAATTCCCCAAGAGGAATTCAGCTGTGCACTTTTGAAGCCAACATTTCAGACATCTAGGGAAATAGGCATCTGTGTATTAGTCAGTTTTCTGTTTCTTATAGCAGGATACCTGAAATTGGGTAATTTATTTAAAAAAAAGTAATTTGTTTCTTATAGTTACGGATGCTGAAAAGCCAAAGGTCAAAAGGCTGCATCTGTTAAGAGCCTTCTTGCTGGTGGAAACTTTGAAGAGTCCCAAGATGGCACAGGTAATCACATAGAGAGGAGGCTGAGTATGCTAGCTCAGGTCTCCTCCTATTTTAATAAAACCACCAACTCCACTCCAATGATAACCCATTAGCCCATTAATTCATTAATGTATTAATCAATGAATGGAATAATCTATCCATGAAAGTAGAGCCTTCATGATCTAATCACATCTTAGTGGCCCCATGCTCGGTCAGTACTGCCACATTGGGGTTTAAATTTCAATATAAGCCAGGCACAGGGGCTCATGCCTGTAATCCCAGCACTTAGGGAGGCCAAGGTGGGTGGATCGCTTGAGTCCAGGAGTTTGAGACCAACCTGGGCGACATGGAAAAACCCTGTCTCTACAAAAAAATACAAAAATTAGCTGAGCGTAGTTGTGCGTGCCTGTGGTCCCAGCTACTCGAGAGGCTGAGGTGGAAGGATCACTTGAGCCCGGGAGGTGGAGGTTACAATGAGCCAAGATCGCACCACTGCACTCCAACCTGGGCAACAGAGTGAGACCTGTCTCAAAAGCAAACAAATAAAAACAACAACAACAACAAAATTCAGCATGAGTTTTAAAGGGGACAAACATTCAAACCACAGCAATACCTTATCCTGAATAAGGATCTGAAGGGTATACCACAGCATTTATGATAGTGCCTTAAATCAACGTGTCTTCTCACCTGTAAAAAGGAGATAATTATCCAAGTCAGCCTCATAAAGGGTAATTTTTTTTTATTTTGGGATATGTATATATTTAGATATATATTATATATATTATATATGTTATATATATACATATTATATATGTTGTATATATTCTAAACATATTATCTCACATAAAAATGAACTCTCAATAAGTGTGAGATATTTTTCTTATTTTTTTCATATAGTAAGCCTATGTATGGATATTTATAATTGAGAAGTTTCGTTTTAATGTCTTCTGGGAAACTGAGGTAAGGCAAAGTTAATGCCTTGCCTATTAAGATCCAGGCAAGAAGACTGTCCGTATTTCTCCCTATGTCCTTGCTGTTATTCTTTCGTACTGCAGTTCTTTATATCAAATGCTGTGGGATTTCAACTCAAATCAAATCACCCAGACCTTCAAATGTTGTTTCTTTATTTATATTTGTTTGTGTGCTTAATTATTATTTGTTTGTTTCCCCTACAAGTTGGCTTTTTGCCTCCACCAAGATCGGTTTGTATATTTCCTATTTTCTAGGAGGGTGAAAAGAAAAGAGACTGCATGTTCTGACATGTCCTGTTAAATTAAAAAGAGAGTGAGCTTAAAATAGAAGAAATTTTAACACATGCAGATATCCACGTGGTGAAGAGACAATTCTATTGTATTTTTCAAACATTAAAAACAGAGAGAGAGAGAGAGACAGAGAAAGAGAGAGGGGGAAAGGAAAATAAAATTAGTCCATATTGGAATGAGCACAACTGGGGCCTTGGCAAAGCTAACACAGACATCCCTGCCAGTGTACGACAGAGCACAAAGGGTTTGTTTTTGCTGATCATCACGAATCACTGAGACCTCTAAATATGTTCTTTGAAATAAGAATGAGTAATACTGCAATTTTTCTTTCACAAGTGAGTCAATACAATCTGACACATACCATTAAGTTGAAATTCTGGAGGTATTTTTATTTCTATTAGATGAAAGTTGGCATGTATATATTTTTGTTTCATCATTTTTGGGTTAGATGATGATTTGGCCTGTTTTTGTGTGTTTGTATATGTGGGTTTCTGTATATGTGTGTCTGTATATTTCTGTGTGATTCTAGGGGAAAGTCGAACAGAAAAATTTACAGCTGCTTGTACCATTTCATCTGACAGAGGAGACTGGGGTTTCTTCTATTTCCCAACTCACTTCCAACAGGCCTCTACTACCACAATTGTCACAGCAACAATATTTTCTGTATAACAAAAAGATTTCCCAGTTCACCTATTTCAAGAAAGTGATTTCTAGGCTAACAAAAAATGAGTACGATCTCTTGGCTAGCTGCAACAGAATCATGGAGAAGTAAAATTTAACAATAAGCATAATCTAGAAAAGACACTTTTACCTAGACTCGGCTTCACTGATACACAAAATCTGTTCTACCTTGCTTTATCATTCCTTTCACCTAAGGAACAGTGAATATGTGGACATCCATTGTTTCTGCATGTTCCAAATAGATCCTCTTTCTTCTGAAACAACACTCTGCTATCCCTTTGGTGAGCCACCCCTCCCTCATCTCAGTCCTTCAGCTACTAACTTTAACCATAGTTCTAGTGGGGACACAGAATCAGGCTTAGCAAAAAAAAGTATATTCTTTTACTTCAAAGCCTAAGTCATCCAATGATAACCTCAGGCCTTTTGCTAGAATTTTGGGGAACATGAAGCCCTCTTTCTACCTGGTGAGCAGCATTTATGGGATAGTTGCCAGTTGCTGATAGTAATCTTACTGTCTTAGTAACAAAAGAGCCTGCCTGGAATTGGAATTGGGATAGAGGGAAGCAGAGATGAAGACAGACCAAATCTTATGACATTGCTTGGGTACCTGGACTCATTCAACCACACCTAAAGAAAATTCTGTCCCCATACATTTTGGTTTTGTGAGCTAATCGACTTCATTTAAGGCAAAGTAAAGGTTTTTTGTTCTGTTTTGTTTTAATGCAAAATAGAAAAGTTCCTGATAAAATCAGGTTATATTTGTATATTTGATCCATATATTCATTACTCATCCAAAAATACTTACAGTTTGAGGGAATTTTACTTTCATAGTACTTCTGGGCGTTCTCTGTTCTCTCACTAACTTAATCTGACTGGTGATTTTGAAAGGAGAACAGGGCTGTGTATTCTCTCTCTCTCTTCTTTTTCTTTAATGACTGTTTCATAATTTATTTAATTAACTTTGAATTGTGAGACATTAATGGTAAACAATTTTCTTACAACTAGAGATAATATTAGGATGTCAACCTTGTGCATTAATCTTTGTGCATCAAACCCAATTTCCCTAGTATATCTAGGAGAATTCTTCTAGGTATTCTAGAAGAATTGGCGGGTCAAAGGGTGAAAATACTTTTAAGCCTACTTTCCAGCTTTATTAAGGTATAGCCGGAAAATACAAATAGAATTTATTAAAGTCATACAACAATGGGATGTTTTGATATAAGTATATGTGGTGAAATGATTACACAATCAAGCCAACTAACACATCCATCATCTCACTTAGTTGCTATTGTTTTGTGTGTGTGAGAACACTTGAGATCTACTGTTTTAGCAAATGGAAAATGCACAATATATTATTACTAACTATAGTTTCCATTCTGAACATTAGGTCTCCAGAACTTATTTATCTTGTAACTGCAACTTTGAATCCTTTGACTAACATCTTCCCTAGTTCCCCACCCACAACCCTTGGTAAACACTATTCCACTAACTATTACTATGACTTCAACTATTTTATATAAATGAGATCATGCTATATTTGTCTTTCTGTGTCTAGTTTATTTTACTTAACATGATGCCCTTCAGTTTCTTCCACATTGTCACAACTGGCAGGATTTCCTTCTTTTTTAAAGATTTAATAATATTCATATATATATTATATATGAATGATATATAATATATAATATTATGAATGATAGTAATATTCATATATATATCATATATATCATATATATGATATATATATATCATATATATGATATATATATATCATATATATATATCATATATATATATCTAACACACACACACCCCTCATTTCCTTTATTCACTCACCTGTCAACAGACACTTGGGTTGTTTCCATATCTTGGCTACTGTGAATAGCTCTCCTTCTCTCAGAGAGTCAATAATCTTTCTCTGGGCCATACAGAAAGCTTATCACGAAAGTCCTTCTTCTCCCATGGTGAAGCTGCAATTTTTCAGTGTTGTTTTTGACTGAAAGACAGCATAAGGCTGTCTATTCTGAGATTTAGGGACACCCACTTGCCTAACCATATAAACTTCATACTCTAATATACACATTATCAGGGTGAAGGTCGCATTTTGCATTATACCTATCTGGCTTCATGTATAATTCTAAGTGAACTCAGAACCCAAGCAGGCACGGGAAGTGTTATCTATTGCTCCCCCCAAAAAATTCCTACCAAATTCCAACAAGATGATATGTATAGAAAACACTTAGATGAGCAAAGCCATTGCATTATTCAGGAATACTAAAGAACCTACTCCATTTGGAATACAATATACAAGTGGGCATGTGGAGGATTGAGGGTATATAGTCAGAGATCAAATTATAAAGGGCCTTCTATGAAATGTCAAGAAGGATGAAACTCCATTGTATGTGTAATGTTGAGCCACTGAAGAATTTTAAATGAGTGTTAGACATTTTCCAAAGAATAGTCTGGCATGAGTTTGAAAAATGAAATGAAGGGTGAAGAAGAGAGGACAGAGAATACAGTATAGTGAGCTGGTGTCCTTACCTACATAACTGTCACAAAGACAAGAAGTTCACCACCACAGACACAGCACTTAGCTCATGCCCGAAACCCAATTAGCCTCAATGTGAGTATGTGTGTATGTGTTATCAGGAAAGAATGAATCATCAGATTAAAAAAAATGAGATGAAAAAAAGTGTAGGAAGGGAAAAGCATGGCATTAGATCTGGACCTAAACCTCCTAAGCCTGAGTTCTGGATTTCATATTTGCTAGTTCATGAGGTATAGTCTAAGTAATAGGCATTGGCTAGATTTCATAAGGACAAACTATTCAGATAATATTTATTGAGATCATTCAATATGCCAGATTCATTTCTGGGTGCTAGATCTAGTTTTAGGATCTAGGCCACTGACTTAAATCATTTAATGAACAAAGAAAAGAGGGAACATAGTCATGATGATGCTGGAATGATCAGAAAGGGGCTATGGAAAATGGCATCATAAAAGTTTAGGGATAAAAAGTTTCAAGAAGGAGAAGTGGTTAAGAGTATCAAATATTACAAAAAGATGAATAATTTAATAAGTAAAAATTGATCTTTGGATAGGTCAAGAAGTCAATGAGGCTCTAAGTTAGAACAGCAGAATAATTTTTTGAAAGGTCAGGGCATAAACAAATAGAAAAACATCTCATGCTCATGGATTGGAAGAATCAATATCATTAAAATGACCATTTTTTTCTTTCTTTTTTTTTTTTTTCGAGATGAGGTCTCGCTCTATCGCCCAGGCTGGAGTGCAGTGGTGCGATCTTGGCTCACTGCAAACTCCGCCTTCCAGGTTCATGCCATTCTAAAATGACCATATTGCCCAAAGAAATCTACAGATTCAATGCAATTTCTGTCAAATTACCAATGTCATTTTTCAAAGAATTAAAAAAAAATCCTAAAGCTCATTTTGTGGACCCAAACCAAAACCAAAAATGTCCATTCAGCCAAAGCACTCCTAAGTAAAAAAACAAATCCTGAAACATCATGTTTCCTGACTTCAAATTATATTGTAAGGCTGTGGAAATTAAAACAGCATGGTAGTAGTACAAAAGTAGACACATAGATCAATGGGGAACAGTATAGAGAACCCAGAAATAAAGCCACATACCCACAACCAACTGATCTTTGATAAAGTTGACAAAAATAAACAATGGGGGGAAGGTCACCCTATTCAATAACTGGTGCTAGGAAAACTGGCTAATCATATGCAGAAGAATAAAGCTGGACCCCTACTTCTCACCATATAAAAAAATTAACTCGATGAATTAAAGATCTATACTTAAAACATGACACTATAAAAACCCTAGAAGAAAAGCTAGGAAAAACTCCTCTGACATAGCTTAGGTAAAGAATTTATGGCAAAGACCCCAGAAGCAAATGCAACAATAACAAAAATAGAAAAATGGAATTTAATTAAACTAAAAATCCTATCATGGCAAAAGAAATAATCAACAGAATAATCAGGCAACCCATAGAATGGAAAAAAGTATTTGCAAATTATGCCACCAACAAAGAATAATATCCATAATCTACAAGGAACTCAACAAGAAAATAAAAATGAAGAAGCCCATGACAAACTGGGGAAAAGGCATGAACAAATATTTCTTAAAAGGAGGAAAAAAAAGCAGCCAACAAACATGAAAAAATGCTCAGCATCACTAATCATCAGATAACAGCAAATTAACACTACATGGGGATGTCATCTTTCACTAGTCAGAACGGCTATTATTAAAAAGTCAAAAAAAAAGATGTCAGTGCGTATTCAAAAAGAACACTTATACATTATTGATGGGAATGTAGATAAGTACAACCTCTATGTAAAACAGTATGGAGATTTCTCAAAGAGCTAAAAATAAAACTACCATTCGACCCACCAATCCTACTGCTCGGTATCTACAGCAAAGAAAAATAAATCATTATATTAAAAAAGACATATGTGCTCATATTTTTATTGCAGCACTATTCAGCAAAGTTATGGAACCAATCTAAAAGTCCACCAATAGTTCATTGGTATATATACACCGTGGAATACTATTTAGCCATAAAAGGAAAGAAACATGTCAGTTGCAATAATATGAATGAGGCTGAAGGCCATTATCCTAAATGAACTAACTCAGAAGCAGAAAATCAAAGATGGCATGTTCTCACTTATAAATGGGAGCTAAATAATGGGTACATACGTACATAAAGATGGAGATAATAGGCTCTGGCGACTCCAAAAGGGGAGAGGTTTGGAAAGGGCCAAGGTTTGAAAAATTACCTATTGGATACACGGTTCAATATTTGAGTGATGGATACATGTTAGAAGCCCAATCCCCACCATTATGCAATATACCCATGTAAGAAACATGAACGTGTACCCCCCAAATCTAAAATAAAAATAAAAGTGAAATCTGGGGCCGAGCGCGGTGGCTTACACCTGTAATGCCAGCACTTTGGGACTCCGAGGCAGGCGGATCATGAGGTCAGGGGATCGAGACCATCCTGGCTAACACGGTGAAACCCCGTCTCTACTAAAAATACAGAAAAAAATCATCCGGGTGTGGTGGCGGGCGCCTGTAGTCCCAGCTACTCAGGAGGCTGAGGCAGAAGAATGGCTTGAACCTGGGAGGCGGAGCTTGCAGTTAGCCGAGATCTCGCCACTGCACTCCAGCCTGGGCGACAGAGCGAGACTCCATCTCACAAAAAAAAAAAAAAAAAAAGTGAAATCTGTCAGCAGAACATGGATGATGGTACAATGAAAGCTTATTAGGAAAAAAGACTAAAAAGAAAGCGTATTTCTTACAAGCCTTAAAAAGGCAAAAGAAGAAAAGGATCCAAGCCAAGCACAGGTGTAGCCAGGTCAGGTAAAACTGCATAACCATTTAAGTGTTAGAAAGTTGTCCACAAACATGTACAAGCAACATACACATGGGCTGCATTAAAAAAAAAAAAAAAGGGACAGAATTATCTTTGGTGCAGTGGCTCATGCTTATAATTCCAGCACTTTGGGAGGCCAAGGCAGGTGGATTACTTGAGGTCAGGAGTTTGAGGTCTGCCTGGCCAACATGGTCAAAGACGTGTCTACTAAAAATACAAAAATTAGCTGGGTGTGGTGGTGTGCACCTGTAGTCCCACCTACTCAGGAGGCTGAGGTGGGTGAATCACTTGAGCCCAGGAGGTGGAGGTTGCAGTGAGCTGAGATTGCGCTACTGCACTCCAGCCTGAGCCGCCGAGTGAGACCCTGTCTCACAAAATAGAAAATTTAGAAAGTGGTTAAGAAATTCTGAGACCAGATGGAGTGATAATCTCTGTGCCTAATTTTCCTCATCTGTAAAACAGGATACAAATACCTCACAGGTGATTGTGAAGGCTGAGGTGATGAATATGAAGCACTCACAACAGTGCCTGGATAAATATTCTATAAGTGTTAGCTGTTATTATCTTTGAGATAATTTGAAATAATGCCCATGCACTCTCCTGAGCATTCACAAGCCTGAATAATTTTCATCTTCAGAGTAATCTGCCATATTATTTACATTTTATTTGCCCATTTTGTATGTTACAAAAGATAGCAAGCATAAATCTTATATAAATGAAGGTGCTATGACATACCACTCATTTAGTTTTTGAGAATATAATTACATCTAAAAATGAAAGTGATTATGTATTTTTTTAATTCTCCACATTTAAGGCAATTTCAAATTCTAAAGCAAAAGGGCAGAATTATATAATAAGCCAAAATGTACGTAATTAATATAGTAGCTTTTATGCTGTACCCCACGCACTATAGATGCTAACTATAAAACCTATAATTTTCCCATTCTACATTTCATAAATTCAAGGAAAGACAGATTGTAGGGATAGAATGCAAAGTGAGTTCTGATATCAGTCTAATTAACGTGTGTTGTTATTTGAAGAAATAAAAAATACATAAACTAAATTATCTTAAATGATTTTTGTTGGCTGTATATTCTAGCTAGCAAACCTCATCTCTGCAACTAAGTAGCTCAGTGACTTTGAACAAATTACATGACCTTTCCGGGTTTAAAAAGAAATTTGAGACATTATTGGGCCATCGACCCATCATATATTCTTCAAGATGCTGTATAAAAGTGTGCCTGGGTATGGTCTCAAACATATCTCATTGTATAGCATATGAAATGAAAACAAAACAAAACAAAAAGAAAACCTCTAAAATGAGGTGCTTATAGCAGTCCACAGACAACTCCAGCCACATTCCATCTGAAGATCAGAGACAAATCATACCAGGTGGCATCTGCTTCCGTTAAACTACACATGTAGCTTGGTAAGTGCTTATTATTGGCAGATTTTACTAATATTAATCCCAGATTTGCAATATGAAAAGCCTCTGACACCTCCTGTGTCTTTTGAAAGCTGGTTTCTTCTTAATGTTATGTTTACTGACAGCATAGTTTATACATAATGAGTCTCAAGAGATTTTTTTCTTAACATTTAACTGAGTCTCCCATCTTTGGCAGTACTTGTAGACACCTATGGATGCAGCACCATGTAAATGTATACAACTACTCAGTAACCCTGGTAAAACCATAGAAATGCAGTGCCTGTCCTTAGGAGGATCTCTATAAATTCATGCTAAAAAATGAGTAAATCTTAATGTGGCATGATATACGGACTAGGAAGCTCACGGATTTGAAGCTATTCTAACCTCAGATTAAATAACAGTTCTAAATAACTCTAAGTAGGTTGTTTTGAGAAAATTGCTCCCACTCTCTGAGTTGTTTCCTCACCTATAACATGGGGATGTTAACATACACTTTTGAATTTGTTTTGTGGATAAGGGATAATATGTTTCTATGGATGCAGATATGAATGTACATGTTTTACTCATACCCTGTGTTAGCCAAGATTCTTGATTCTAACTTTCAAAAAACAATTCTAGTTAGTTTAAACAAAGAGAGGATAGACTTAGAATTCAGGGGTTTGAAGCTAGGTTTTATATAAAGACAGATACCAGGAATAAATGTCAAGACTACCTGTGATCTCTTCCTCTTTCTCTGCACCTGCTTCATAATCCACTTTCTTTTTCTAGAGATTCAGAGTTCTGGGGTTTGCATATGACTCTTCCGATCACTTCCAAAGAATTACTAGCAGTCTCTGAGTCTTACATTCATTTCCAAATTTATGGGAGAGGAAACCCTCAAAGTCCCAGGTTTAGTAAGATATCCATCCTGGTCTAACTTGCAGTGACCAGAGGACAGGCTCACTATCACAAAAGTAAATATTGGGGGAATTATAAATCAGGCAGGAATGAACTTTCCAGATGGGAAATCACTGTGAACCGGGAAGACACTCTGTAAATTGTTAATCAATCTCTAAGTTTTTCTCCACAGAGCATTCAAGACAGAAGTAAGATATGTAAAGATATGACATAATGCCTAGCAAATGGCAAGCATTAGATAAGAGGCCACAACTATTATACAAGTAAAATCTAAAGATAACTTTCATCTATGTCATCATTGAACCAGCTTTTATTGAGGGCCATATTACAATGTAGACATTGGGCTTTTCCTGGAAATAGTGAAGTTACTCTGGTCTCAGCCACTAGGAAGTTTTCTGTTACATGGAAGAGAGTGACTATATCTTTTTCATCTCTCCTGAACTCCCCCAAACACTGTCCTTTATGAAAGGATTTCTCTCTTCAAGATATGATAATTTTTCTATGTTTTGGAACTCAAAAGAGACAGTCTTCCTATGCAATTTTCACAGTAAATTAACTCCATCATTCCAGACAGGTAAGCATACCAATTGGTAGCAGTTCTCATGCTCATGAATCTTTTGGTAAAAAATATCTCAAATGGCTTTCAATGTGAGCATTAGTGTTGAGGGTCCACATCACACAACTGGGAAAATAAATCAAAAAGAGAATCAAATGTAGTTCTTACTGACAAGACAAGTGACTGGGCTGGATGGTATCACATTCCCTTCTCTACATAATAGGAATTCCCTATGATAAATCACAAAGTACTTGAAAATTATCGTATAATAAGGATGATACATCCATTAACCATAAAGCATAAAACAAACTGCCAGGCTGGGTGTGGTGGCTCATGTCTGTAATTCTGGCACTTTGAAAGGCTGAGACAGGTGGATTGCTTGAACCCAGGAGTTTGAGACCAGGCTGGGCAGCATGACAAAAACCTCATCTCTTAAAAAAAAAAAAAAAAAAAATTAGCCAGACATGGTGCTGCATGCCTATAGTTTCAGCTACATGGGAGGCTGAGGCAGGAGGATCACCTGAGCCTTGGAGGATGAGGCTGGGGTGAGCCATGACCATGCTAGTGCACTCCAGCCTGGGCAATAGAATGAGACCCTGTCTCAAAAACAAAACACAACAAAAACTGCCTGCGTCATGTTGTCCAATTGTCATCGATAAAATACAAATACTCGAGATGAAGGAAACTTTACTGGTTTTAAAACACAGTAAGTATGGTTTCCTGGCCTGGTTTTAGTATCTTCTACATATATGACCTGTGTGAGCCTCTTTGTAGGCTTGTAGGTGGTAGCTTATACTCAAGTTTTCTTATGACAAGAGAAAATTTTGAATTTTAAATTTTCAATTACACCTTTCAATTCTAAGTCAGATATTGTACTACACTGGCTATAGAATCAGTTTGAGGGTGTCAAGCTCTATTTATTACTTTTTTTAAAAAGTTATATATTAATATATATGGCAGATAATTTAGAAAACACAGAGCTATAAATGTAATGTAAAAAAAAAATAAATTCTACCTGCTAGCTTCTCCCAAATCTAATATTATCATTTTGTGTTTTAGTCTTTAGAGTTTTTGTTTAAAAAAAAAGAAAATCTGTATGCATTTATAATTTCCTTTGAACAATTAGGGCTCATATGGTGTATGAAACTTTTATATCCATTATTTATAACCTGAGCATGTAGAGTATGCATGTCATATTTATTGTCACACATCGTCTTTTATATGCCTTAACTATAGTTGAGAAAATTATTGTACCATGAGCCCTGCCATCTCAAGGTAAAAGCAGTCTCAATTTTCCAGCCTCTTTAACAGTTAGGACATGGCCTAGGTGATGCAGACTTCATCAATAATATATGCCAGCTGCTTCAGTGTTCAATTTGGAAATGGATGACATAAAGAAAGAAACCTCATGTGGAATCTTTTTCTTGGTATAGCCTAGCCAAGAAGCATAGAGCTTTCAGGAATATCAGTGGTATTAGCTTCATGGTAGGGTCCACTCTCAAAATCTAAGGAAGAACCTTCTGGTCTCGTGCTTGGGAATGTTGCGATTGTGCCTGCACTAATGATAAAGTATGGATTGGGCATTTTTCTGCATGATGTTAAATCATAATTATCTGACTGTTTTAGGGATTATCTGAGCAGATAACCTTTAGTGAATTTCCTTTCTACATACAATACCTGGAAAGATTTCTGTGTTTTGTAACTAAAACTTAGGATGACACAACTATATTCCTTTGCCAATAAATTTTCATTAAAAATGTCACTTGAGAGGCAGAAAAAAAAATGCCATCATACACATATTGCAATATACATTTAACTGCCCTTTCATTATTTTATTTTTAAAATACATTTAACTCTGTGATCTTCCCGTAGTGTATTTTGGTTAGTGATGTCAATTAAAATATACTCAGCAGCCTCTGGTTATCTGCAGTTTCACTTTTCATGGTTTTAGTTACCCATGGCCAATCATGGTGTGAAAACAATAAATGAAAAAAACAGGCAGAAATAAACAATTCATAAGTTTTAAATTGCATACCTTTCTGAGTAGTGTGATGAAACCTGGCACCATCCTGCTCCATCCCTCCTGGGGTGGGAATCATCCTTTTGTTCAGCTGTATCCACATTGTATCTGCTACATTAGTCACTTAGTAGCCACCTAGGTTATCAGAAAAAACAGTGTCTACCAATTTCAGTGCTATCTGCGGTTTCACTGGGGACCTTGGAACCTATCCCCAAGGATAAAAGGAGACTACTATGTTTCCTCCCAAATATTTAAATAATTATGCCAATCACAGTCATTAAATAGTGCTTCTTCCTCCTGAATTTATATCATATTCATTAGAGGCTAGCATTTGTTTATCAGCCTAATATCTGATTTTATTATTCTGCCTATAGCTTTTGGAATCAGTACAAAACTTTTAAGCATTGTGCCCTTTTAATACATTTTAATATTTGGTGAAGGAAATGCTCCATAATTCTCCCTTGTCCAAACCTCATAGGCTATTTGCACAGCCTTATTCTTATGCCTAGTAATGTGTTTTAATGACTAAGCAGGTTTCTTTCTGTAAAAGCATTTAATCTTTTGTGAGTGGGGTAATCTAGGAACCATATAAATTCTAGACATTAATAACTCAGGATTAGTCGGAAAATGATCATTTGAATTATGACCCTTCAACACTGAAGACATCTGCATTACACAATCTAAGATGTAAATGGAAAACCTGCAACTGATATCACAAATGCTTTTTTCCTTTCATCTTAAGTTATTTGTTCCTCTTTTTTCTTCCTGCCAACTGGGCTTCCCCTCCAAAGTCCCTTTCATTCCAATTTGGCTAATCCTTTCCAACTGCAGGAAGCGCAGAGATGTGTAAGACCTCCCCCAGCAAGTTGATCTCTGCTGACTGCAGCCTGCCAGGTCCCAGCAAGCTGTCTTCTGGCTCCTTTGTATTTGCCAACGCAAACTTCTGTGGGTTTTTTTGTTGTTGTTGTTGCATTCTAACAGGAATGCTTTTGCTATGCCATGGAATCTCTGGCAGATAACTTCAAATATTGTCTCTTTGAAAGCTTAGCAAACTGATGCTCAATTCAACTGTATCTGAAAACCAAAATGAGCGCCATTATTTTGAATTGTTTATCTTGAAAAATTATGCTTTTATTTATTTTTTGAAGGTTAGAGAAAAAGAGCAAAAATCCAATACAATCTCTAAAATAAATAGGACCTTTATCTCTAGGCTTTTTCTGTAATCAAATGTTCTCACATGCCGGTTCTATTTTAAACTTCTAATTAATTAGCTCAGGAATTATAATAACCTCAGATTTTAGTCTCTGCAATAATATGTGGCCCTGTTTAATTATTTACTTAGTATTTAAAATATTAAGAGTTGTTACTGGAAGAAGACTATTGAATAAACTAGTAGAATGAAATCTCTATTTCAAAAGCAAATTGTTTAAAGAAAATCTTAAAAACTTCTGACAATTCCCATCTCATACAAAATATTACAATTGTTTCTTTCTCATTGGGAATTAGAAAAACGGTAAACTGTGATGTCCACTGAAAAATAAAATAAAAACAATATATGATTTAGTTTATACATCCACTTGAATTTCTTACAGAAGCCAGAAGAGGGCAGAAGATGCTGCATATAGGACCATATTTGCATTAAAAAAAGTTTCTTTGAATTAAGATCCAAAATTCCATTTCAGAAAAAAAGGAAAACATGTTAGATATGGCTAGTTTTAAGAGATCATGGCTGAATCAGAATGGGGCACATTACACAATGTGGCAAGTGTGTTTTATACCCACTTCAGCCAACTCACCTCAACTCTTTTTTTCTGAACCCAACTGTTTAATAAAAACAGTAAGAATCAACATGTATTCAGTCATTATATCTGCTACTTTATATTACTATTCTTTGTTTAAATCTACACAGTTGAGGTTCTATTATTGCTCCCATTTTGCAGATGGAGAAACTTAAGTCAGGAGACATTAAGTCACGGACAGTGTTAACACAGCTGTAAATCACAGCACTTGGTTTTAAATTTAAGCATATGGACTCCAAAGACTACATTCTTATCTATTGCAATACTTCTTGCAGAATAATGATCATATGATCTTTGCAATGCTATCAGGTAAAATGACCTACTTTTTAGGGCTTCAGTCTTAAATCCTAGAAACAAATTGATCCTTTTTGTCTTTACTGTCTGGCATGAATATTTTAAGAACTGTATTTAAAAGCAAGGACAAACCCAATTTAAAGTTAACCCTGAACACAGAGCCTGCTATGAGTAACTGTGAAGTTTGTGGTTTCACTCCTTTTTCTATCTCGTCTGCAGTGCTGTGCTCCCCCCTTGCAGCTCCTATTCTTAGCAGCAGCGTGGAGTGTCCTCCTGCTGGCTCCCCATTTCCTTGTATTAGAATGACGTTCAGTTAACTGCCAGCCTGCCTGGACCTGATAAATTAATTTTCAGCTTTTAATGTCATTCTTGTCTGGCATATTTGCATTTGAAGAAAGACCAATCCCTTGACATTTACAGGCAAACTATTTTATCAGATGGCAGGATTTTAGTTGGAGTGGTGAGGATGGAAGAGGGTGACAGGCATTATACAATGATGTGTTGGGTGATGGCAATATAAGGCAATGAGGATACTCCCAAAGACAAAGACAGAGGTAGAGAGAGAGAATAAGAGAGAAAAGAAGAGACAGAGAGAGACAGGAACTTGTGTGGTCTCATCAACAATATATACACGGAAAGTCGAAAGCAATAAAATGGGTTATTGAATTCCTTTCATTTTTAATTATGTCTTTTAGTTATTTTACCGTAACTGTTCTATGCCATTGCATATTGTTTTTGTTTATCTTAATTATGAAGTGAAGGTGGGGTGGAGGAAAAAATGAAAGGCTGAAAGGGAAGATGAGGAGATGAGAGAGAGAATGGGGGTGAGTGGGAAGAGAAGAAATGAATAAGAGAAGGAGGAGAAGAAGAGGAAGAGGAGAAGGGGAAGCACAAAAGAGAAAACAGTCCTTTGGAATCATAGAATAGAACAACTTAGATTGAAATGTGAGCTCAAATGTTTGGGTTTTCTCATCTCTCTCCCTTTTTTTTTTTTTTTTTTGAGACAGAGTCTCTCTCTGTTGCTCAGGCTAGAGTGCAGTGGCGTGATCTCGGCTCACTGTAACCTCTGCCTCCTGGGTTCGAGAAATTCTCTTGCCTCAGCCTCCCAAGTAGCTGGGATTACAAGCAACCTCCACCATAGCCAGCTAATTTTTTTGTATTTTTAGTAGAGACACAGTTTCACCATGTTGGCCAGGCTGGTTTCAAACTCCTGACCTCAAATGATCCTCCTGCCTCAACCTCCCAAAGTGGAGGATTACAGGTGTGAGTCACTACTCCCAGCCTGGGTTTTCTAATCTCTAAACTGGGACTTGTAATCTACTTACCCTCCAGAGTGACTGAAAGTATTATACGAGAAAAAACTATACAAGAATATCACACACACACGCACGCACACACACACTTAGAATAACTCCTGGCACACAGTAAGCACTTGATGAATGCTAGTGATTATTATTATTATTATATTATAGCTCCTATAACCCTTAATAATAGTCAAAACTCTATATAAATCTATTTCCCCTTGCACCACAAAAGAAAAACCAAGTCATTTTGCAGAACTGTAAATGTACCAAATTAAATGCCCAGGCATAGGAATTAGGGTAAGCAATATCTCGCTACAAAATTGGCACTCAATATCTCTCAGCACATAATCCTTACCATCAAAGGAATGAGCTACCTAAAATAAGCACATTAGTCAGCTACCAGAGACAAGCAATGTTAATATCTACAGCAAGCTACAAATTATCTAACAACCACAACACATGTTTTAGAGGAAAATATCAGAGTAAAGAAAATCAGACTTTAATGGTGCAAGGCTCAAGCTCCAGTTAGTTTTCACTGACTACTCAGGAGAAGGCTGAACTCAGATAGCTCTGGGAAAGGAACTGGGAAGTGGGGAGAAGTATTTTCTCTTTCCTGTTAGCGGCAGAACATATCTAAGAACCGGCCCCAAAGTATTTTACCAGCGAGGAATCCATACAGTGCTGAGGCAACCTCAATTCTTGCCTCCTCAGAAGAAAGAATTTGGCTGAGGGGCAGAAGGAGAGACTAAGGCAAGTTTTAGAACAGGAGTGAAAGTTTAATGAAAAGCTTTAAAGCAGGAACAAAAAAAGAGGCAAGTACACTTGGAAAAGGGCCAAGTAGGCGACTTGAAAGAGAAGTGTGCATTTGGACCTTTTGACTTGGGATCTTACACGTTGGCTTACTTCTGGGGTCTTGACATTCCTTCTGCCTTGATTCTTGCGTTGGGGTGGCTGTCTGCATGCATAGTGGCCTGCTGGCACATGGGAGGTGACCATGTGCAATGTGTTACTGGAGTTGTCCGCATGCTCGCTTTAGGCGTTCTTCCCTTTCCGGTCAAACGTCCCTAGGAGGTGACATACCTGTTGAACTCCACCATTTTGCCTCTCAGTGTGCATGCGTGAGCCCGCTCACCCAGTTCCTGAGGTCTTATCGGGAAGCTGCTGATTGCCAGTTTCAGGTGTTTCCATCTGTTGGGAGACTGCCTTTCCCTGGCACCAGCTGCAACCAATTATTATTTTAGAGAGACAGTTTGACAACTGCCTGACCATCACTTGATAGCCGCCTGACTTTCCTGGTGGGGGGTTGCGGGGAGCTCTCTCCTGCCCTGCTCATGCCTGACTACTTACTATAACAGTCCTATTTATATTTGTATATAAAGTGACATATCGAAATGTATTTAATAAATTAATAAGTTTAATACATTTTGAGTATGGTAGTTTTTCGGGTTTCACACCCATCTTAATAAAAATTTAAAATATAAGCCAATATTTTTCAGAAACAAACAACCAACAATACTGTCCTGATCATCACTACCGACTCATCTCCTTAACCAGTGTAAAGGATTTATTAGAAAAATTTATGGTTTTAGAGATTTGAATCAGGGAGAAAACACTTTGAAATTATATTTTCTAATATTTTCATTTTGAGCACAAAGAAACCTGGTTAAATGACTAACCAAACTTATTCCTACCATTAGTTAATTTTTCCCATTAATCATAGTTTTATTGCACTGCTTGCCAGCTCTGTTCACAGTGCCCATGGCCTGGTGTATGTCTTAGTCTCCTCTTGCTTGAATACTGTAGAACAGTTCTATCTTAACTCCCTGTAACCCATTTTTTCTTTTTAACTCCCTGTAACCCACTTTTCTTTCTGGTGTCCACCCATGAGTTCAAATGGTTTTCCTTAAGTACATATCTAATCTTGAACCTCTGACTGGTAGAAACACTTGAATGACTCCCCCAAAATACTCAACATATAGTCAATATTATTTAACATGACACTTAAGGCCATATGCATTGCATATTCTGTTAACGTCTTCCTCACAACCACTCTTCTATCCCCTGTCCTTCAGCCTCCCTGAGCTACAGGCAGTTCCCCAACAAGCCAGACCTCTTTCTCCTGAGCCTGGCATTACCTGTCATTACCTGGCATTTTGCTCTTTCTGCCTAGGTATCTCCTATGCTCTTAGCATGAGTTTATATTTCCAAAGTTAAGAAGTCAGCTCCTATTCACTCTTTTGACTGGCTTAGGGTTCTTCTGTTGTGTTCCCATGTATTTTTGTTAATATGTAGTATTGATTACATCTGAGTGTAAAAGCCTCTGATTTTTCTTTTTTCCTCTGGATTTTCAGCTCACTGAAGGTAGAAACTGCATCTTATTCAGCAATATAGTCCCAATTCCTAGAACAAAGCCTGGCACAGAGTGAAAGTTCATTAACATTTTTAATCAGATGCCAATCTTCTAACTCCTAGGCCTGAGATATTCTGGTATTTCGTCATATCACCCTAGTACTTCATTACCTACTATTTGCTTCATGTGAATTAGTCATAGCTCATCAATTGCACGGTAAGCAACTTGAGGGAAGAGATAGTGTTTTACTTATCTTTTTTTTTATCTCCTTCAGGGCCAAGTCTATAATAGACAGCTTGCAATTGTTAAAGAAATTTATTTATTGATGTACTTATCTTTTACCCAAGAAAAACTCTCTTTATACATAGATTCTTAGGAAGAATGGAATATGAGAGAGAGACAAAGTGCACACCCTGCTCCTGCTCTGGTTTAAATGAGATATGCGAATTTCCATCCATCTCCCCCACCATCCCCCAACCCCCTTACCCACACACGTACACAATTGAGCTTGGGGAAGCTCAAAAGAGCTTGTGAAGAACACAATTCTAAAGTTGTGTTCTTCAAACTGTGGGTCACAGTCCCATTAGAGAAGAGTAGTATTAATTTATTGAGTCACAACTTGCACTTAGAAAATTCAAAAGAGTATTGAGTTTTATATATGTAGTAAAGACAGTATTGCTGAGGCAAATCATTCTTCAATTGTTATCCAACAATACATGAGCATTTACTTATTGTGCTTCCCAGTCATAAAAATGTTTGAAATCCACTAATTTAAAGTGCTCCTTAAAGTCTAGGTTAAAATGTCTGGTGTAGTACAGTTGTTCCAAACATTGGCTCATATCAGGAAGAACTGACTGATGAAAATACAGAGTCCCAGATCCTATTGCAGCAGATTCTCATTCATTAGGCTGAGGTTAGGCCCAGGCATGTCTATTTTCATTGAGCTTCCTAGGTCATCGTGAAGCACATGCACATTTAAAAACCACTGGGATAGAGGAAAGGGCACATATAGAACTGGAGTGCTAGAGCCGGAAGGAGTTTGAAATTGTCACCCTCCCCGATGTTTGAATATAAACCCTCTGTTTGGAAATCCTCCTAAGACAAGGCAAAAAATCCATTCTTTTTGTTGTTGTTTCCTTTGCTGTGCAGAAGCTCAAAATATTTACATTTTTTAAGGTATCGTTCTAAATGGAATGGTTATTACCCACTGACTAGTTCCCTCTTATTCTGGGATATCAAATCCTTGTTTGCTTTTTTTGTTGTTGTTGTTGGTCATTTTATTTTATTTTAGATTTGAGAGTGTACATGTGCAGGTTTGTTAACATGGATCTACTGTGTAATGGTGAGATCAAACATGTATTTTCATGTTTTAAATTGCTGTGCTGTGTAACCTTTTGGAAGACCCTTGAATTTTTTACCACAAGTCTTATCCTAGGTCCCCTTCTCCTCTCACATTTTTTTCCGCTTTATTAACATATAATTGACTAATAAAATTGTGTATATTTAAGTGTACAATGCAATGATTTGATATACATATACATTGTAAAATGATTACCACAATCAAACTAATTAGCATATCCATCATTCCATGTGACTACTTTTTTTAAACGAGAAAACGTAAGATCGACTCTGTTAACAAATTGCAAGTATACGATACAGTTTTAATATTATAGTCACCATGCTATACATTAGACCCTCAGAATTTATTCATCTTGTAATTGAAAGCTTGTATGTTTTGACCAATATCTCTCAACTTCCCCACCCCCAACCCTTTCTGACCCCATTCTACTCTACGTTTCAATAAGTATTACTCTTTAAAAGTTTTTTTTAAAGTTAAGTTTTCACATATAAGAGACACCATACAGTATTTGTCTTTCTATTTCTGGCTTATTTTGCTTAGATGAGGGCCTCCACATTCATCAATGTTACTGCAAGTGCCAGGATTTCCTTCTTCTTTCTTCCTTCTTCCTTCTTCCTTCTTTCTTCTTCTTCCTTTTTTTTTTTTTTTCCTGATGGAGTTTCACTCTTGTTGCCCAGGCTGGAGTGCAATGGCACGATCTCGGCTCACCACACCTCTGCCTCCTGGGTTCAAGCAATTCTCCTGCCTCGTCCTCCCGAGTAGCTGGGATTACAGGCGCCCGCCACCACACCCGGCTAATTTTGTGTTTTTAGTAGAGATGGAGTTTCACCATGTTAGCCAGGCTGGTCTCAAACTCCTGACCTCAGGTGATCTACCCACCTTGGCCTCCTAAAGTGCTGGGATTATAGGCGTGAGCCACCGTGCCTGGCCTTCTTTTTTTAAAAAATAGCTGAATAATATTCATCTCTTTCTGTGTGTGTGTGTGTGTGTGTGTTGTGTGTATGTATCTCACATTTTCTTTACACAGTCATCTGCTCACAGGCACTCGGGTTGTTTCCATATCTTAGTTATTTTGAATATGACAATGCATTTATTCTAAGGCAGTCCTTCCTGTTTCTGTGTAGCTTCCACCCTTTCTCTTGATTCCTGTTACCTAAGAGGGAAAATTTAATTTTCCTTCCAGTAACAGCTTTTTATTTATTGCATAACCAGCCTTGATTTTCTCATCTCTCAAGGCAATTGAAAGAGATTCACAGAAGATCATGTTCAAATATATATGCTTATACATTGTAAAATGTAAACTATAATGTTGCGAACAGTTTATTTATAGTAGGAGCTGAGTAAATGTTTTTTCCACTAGCTGAGAGCTGATAACCACTTTTCTTTCTCTCATTCCAGGCTAAGTATTCCCCTCCTTTTCCTTTCAAAATCAACTACTGGATTAAGCTCCATAAAGCAGGGACCTAGTTTTGTTTACCACATAGCAGTGGGGCTTAACATAGTGCCTGCCATTAAGTAACTATCTGTAGAATGAATGAATCCAAAAGTCAGAAACAGATTCCTCTAAATGTGTTATATGTAAATGAACTATGTGTATCTCTGAAGACCCTTTTCTTAGTCTCTTAGCTCAGTACTCAATCCTTTAGTGTAGAACTTCAATTATTTTGCTCAATTGGTGCTCATATCTCAGAGGAGATAATTGTATGATGGATAGAGCTCTAAACAAGATTTTCACCAGCCCCCAACTTTCCAGCAATCTTTAATGGCACTTGCAGCAAAAAGGGCATAAAAAGCCTCTCTCATTCACAGTGATCTCAGCAGCTCTTAAATAAACTAAGTGGCCCAGCCGAATACTGAGAAAAGCAAAAGGCATTTTTGTGCACACACTTTTCCCAATCACTGGCAAAACTGGATGTAACAACCTGAATTTATTGCTTACTTCCCTAAAAGATGTTTTTGTGTGTTTTGTTTTATTTTGTAAACATGCTCCTTAGACAGTGGATTGGGAGAATTTTCAATTATATGTATTTTTATAGATTATCTTCTAAACCTATTAAAATGTTACAGGAGTAATTCTGCTGAAAAGTTTTAAGTGATTTCTAGTCCATTATTTTGACTGCAATGCAATAGTGAGTAAACACCAAGACAAAACATCATGCTTTTGATTTTAGCTGCTTTTCAAGCAATTGATCTCTTTGATTATATTGGTCAAAGACCTGGCTTTTAGGCTGAATCTTGGGCATTTTTCTCTGAGTTACTCTAACACAAAGTTCTCTTTATCTATGGAGTGTGATAATTCAAACCTCACTCCTGGCACAAATAGACACACAAAAATATAGAAACAACAGCAAAAATAGTCAACGTCCTGATGACTAAGAGGGTTACTCCCTCAAAGAAAATTAGAAAGTTATTTTGCATTAAAAAGTTGGGAAGATTTAGAAAAAAACAAAACAAAAAGTTGGGGAGTCATGTCACATCATGTCTCCCCAATTTGTTCACATTTAAACAGCAGAAGCTAATGCATTTCTGTTCTCCAACTGTTATTTTACCCCACTTTGCCAACTTTGCTTTTAATTTGTTGATTCATTCGTGTTTATCTGATAATGGCTTTCAAGGGCTTTCTTTCAATTAAAACATTGGATAAAGGGAATAGGACAAGAAAATTAACTGATCACCTAACATAATGCAAAGTGGTAGATGCTTTATTGTTGATAAATAAATCATTTAGCTCTCATAACATCTCTACCACATATTATTATGCAAACTATTTAATAACTTTAGCTAAGAGAATATAAGCAACATTTTCAAGATTCAACAGCTACTAATTCACATAGTTTGAGAATCATGCCAGCAAACAAAGCCAGTGTTAAATGTGCATGTGTGTATATGCACTCATGCATGTACATGCTACATAATAGAGCATACATCTGAGTTATTGTGCTGCTAGCTGAAGACTGCTCTTTGCTTTCTACCAAATTTTCTTTGAAATATCTAAATTAGGTAGAGGACTGCCTATGAAATTTAATAGGATCCTGTAAAAAATTAAAATACAGGGCCATTTATTTTAAAAAATTATTAAGACAGTGAGATCAGAGAATTAAACGAAGTGCCAAGCCATGTGTGACTGAACAGGTCACAAATCCAAAGACAAACCTCCTTGCATAACCAGTTTGGTGTAAGGCACTGAAATAATAGAAGAGTATAGAGATTCGACTTGATGTATTAATTTGCTCTATTATGCTAGAAAACTATACCCAAATTTCAGGAGCATAAAACAACAGTCACTCCTTACTCCTTGGTCAATGTCAGCAGTGACTTGCCTAAGCTTGCATTCAAGCCTGTTCTTTGGTCTTCCATTTTGAAACCAAGCCTGAAAGAGCAGCAGGTACCTGGTGCATAGTGTTCTCATGGCCATGACAAAGTAGAACTCAAACAACACGAGTGCATTTAAAACACTATTAAATCACATCTGTACACATTTAATGGCTGATATGGTTTGTCTGTGTCCCCACCCAAATCTCACCTTGAATTATGGCTCCTATAATTCCCACATGTCATGGGAGGGACCTGGTGAGAGTTAATTGAATCATGGGGGCGGGTCCTTCCCATACTGTTCTCCTGATGGTGAACAAGTCTCATCAGATCTGATGGTTTTATAAAGGGGAATTTTCCTGCACAAGTTTTCTTACCTGCTGCCACATAAGATGTGACTTTGCTCCTCCTTCGCCTTCTGCCATGACTGTGAGGCCTCCCCAGACATGTGGAACTGTGAGTCAATTAAACCTCTTTCCTTTCCTTAATTACCCTGTCTTGGGTATGTCTCATTAGCAGTGTGAGAACAGACTAATACAATGGCCAAGCAAAATAACATGTCCAAGCTCAAGGTTGTTGGGGTGAGGATGAGAATCCCAATTCTATGGAAGAGGAAAAGGGAAATATTTGCTGAATCATAATATGGTCTACCACAAGTGAGATGTTGCTCTATTGAAAAACTGATTATTAAACAATCAAATCAGTGTTTGGAAAAAGTTTGATTCTTTGCTTGAAATTCCTGGCTTGCCACATGCTAAAAACATCAAACTGGATTTCTGGCCTATTCTAAGGATAGTAAAGAGACAGGGACCAGGAGAGAGAAAAAAATAGCTTTCAAAGGGGAAGTGCAACCCAAGAAAGATAATCTGTTTCCCCTCTCCAAAGCTAAGAAATGGAGGAGACCTTTAGGAGACAAATAAGTAAAGTGAGATAAATCTTACGGAAAGAAAGACTAATATTTTATTGACCAATATAATGTCCATGTTTGTGAACATACCCAGACATGTCTGCAACAGGGAGAAGAGCACGAGAAAGGCATAGTAAAGATGAGAGTTTTAAAGAAGGAAACTACTTTTTCACCACTTGGCATGACAAGTTACCTAGATCTCCAGCTAGCTAGAGTTTGCACTGCACTACTCCTACCCACAACGAAGGGGCATCTTTTGGATTAGAAGACTGAAACAAGAGGTTTGAAGAATCACCAATTGGATTCAAGGATGAGGAGAATTAGAGAAGAAGAAGCTGATCAGTCAGATATTTTATGCCAAGGGACTGAGTAGGGAGACATCACCAGGGAGTTATGCAAAAGAGCCAACAAATAAACCCTCATGTAGGAGTGAGTAGTTGCGTATTGCCTGTGCAAAGGCAAAGCTAGCCAGTTAGTGAGTGTGGTATCAACAGACCTCAAAGTACAAACAATAGCCACAGAAGTGAACATCAATTACTACTGAGAAAGGAGGAGACAGTTTACCTTCCATTAGGTAATTCTATTTTTCTCCTCACCTTCCCTCTTATTTTTTACACTACATGGGTAACACAAAAAGGAGGATGAACTTATAGAAGGTAGGAAAATAAATGAGATTTACATAGCCTTTCTCCATCCCAAACCCTTGGCTAGAACCACAGGTCCAATCTACAGCTGGGTAAATAGAGGAGCTTCAGGTAACATTGGAGAAAAAAATGTTACATTGGACTTCACAGTCTCCTAAACAGTGACCCAAATAAACTGTTCTTTGTAAGTTACCCATCCGCAGCCAGGTGCGATGGCTCACGCCTGTAATCTCAGCACTTTGGAAGGCCGAGGCAGGTGGATGACCTTTTGGATTCATTCAATCAGCAGTCATGGTAGTTGAAATGAGTCAGTTTTAATAACCATATGTGCCTGTAATGTTATGATATTGGGAAAAGATTTGTCATTAAGAGGCACACCGTGCAACAAGAAAAAGAATTTGACAGAGCCGTTAGTGGCAGCTCTGCATTTTTTCCTTTACAAAATCTAACAAGTTATGAGATCAAATAAAACAAAAGCAGTTTCAGAGGTCAAAATCAGTGTTTTGCATATCAAATATAGATGACTGAAAATTACAAGGTCTTTTTCCTTAGAAGAGCACTGAAGAGAAGAATAAGAGGAGAAGGAGGAGGAAGGAATTGGAAATTATTGAGTGTGTAGTATTCCCGCTGTAATAGTATGCAATTTATCATGGAATACAATGATTTCAATTCTTGAAGTAGAAGGTAACAAGCTTGTATAGGATAAGAGGAATAAGAGAGGATTAAGAGAGGGATGAGGTTTGGAGTAGACAGTTCTCTACTATAATCTGAGATAGTTCAAGACATGATTGGCTATTAGGTAGATCAATATTAAAATATTCACAAATATTAAAATGTTCACAAACAGTTGTTTTATATACATTTGAAGTGGATTCAATCGTATCTCTGAAAAAGTGTCACTCTCACTTTTACATCTATTACAATATGTTATCTCTAGAGTTAAAGAGAAAGGACTGGTAGTGTTACACCTTGCTTGCCAAGGAGTCCTAGGGACCCTCGCGGGAGTGGGCCACTCAGGTAAACACCATCCATCATGGATTTCTCCACAGGAGAGAGTTGAGAACTGCTGCCATAGGTAACCAGCCTCTCACTCTACCACACCCCACACCAGGGCTTGGTCAGTCTGCAATACATAACATTTAGGAACGTTAGACCGCAGAGTGGGAATGGATTAGTGTAGGCTTCCTACAGAAGGCATTTTCCTCCAGTTACTTAGATAGTTCTAGTCAATGGCTTCTCAAACAAGATTGCGACTAATTTGTAAAAGTCAGATATGCAATAATACTATATAACAAATCACCCCAAATCTCAGTGACTCATGATAACAAGCATTTTATTCACTCTTTCAAAAAACTGCAAGTTGATTGAGATGTTTTTGCTTCAGTCTGCAGGTGAGTTTGTGCAGAGTGAGACTCTATCATAAAGTACAGTGGTTTGATAAGTAATAGGGAGTCTGCCCTGTGGTACGTGATTGAGAGGAAAACTTAGGATAACTTGGCATAGAAGAACTAATGAATTGGAAGCTGCATGGGTAAAATGAGGCTTGTACAATGCTTATTTATAGAGTTGAGATAAACTATATTCATTTAAAATCATAAATAGATTTCGTTTGTCAGCAGAATAAGAAAACAGCCATCCATGAAATATCAAGCACTTAGTTTCTCATTCAATTATTGATTCTGTCATGAAATATTGTACATGTATGTAGCCCAACACATATTGACTATAGAGAGGCCATGTAATATAGGGAAAAAATTGATATTGATGCTGAATGTAAAATTATTATGTGATACTGTATATGAATGTTATAGTAATTACATAAGTATTATATGATTGCATTCCTAATTATGGTCACAGAGATGCAAAAAAATATGAACAGTGAAGTAGGGTAGACCATGCATTGAAGTTGGGTTTAAGCCTTTTTATTTCTGTAACTTGGGGAAAGATATTTAACCGAACTGAATCTCCCATCCTATATAATCATTGTTAAAATATTTGGGAGGCAAAGGAAAAAGAAAACCTTGTTTTATTCCCTATCCCAAGCTTAAGACTGAAAGATAAAAAATGTAATTTGGAAGGTAAAGATGAACATTTTGTAGTGACAAAGTGGACTGGAGGAGGCAGCTTAAATAAGATGCTATAATTGACTTGTTAACATTTCACCCTGAATGAGACAAATTTGTCTGCCCAGTCATGTACAACAACTTTAGGACTCCCCTAATATCAGTCACTGCTCCTCTGGCGATTCTCCTGAGACCATTAATAGACAGCAATTTTCACCCCACCTGCCATTAGAAAGCTCAGAAATATTTCAGAACAGCATATTACTTAACTCTAAGTCTCTGCTTGCACCCTAGGCTGAAAATTAACACTTGGTTCTATTTCCCATCTCAAAACATGCAGTTAGGTTGTCCAATACATCTCTGATCAGAGGTTAGGTGATGACTTTAAGTGATAGCATAAATGAATTCAAGTAATACAATTTCAGCAAACTAAAAATTTCCGTTAAATTGAATATAACCTTCTTCCCCTTATCAAACTTCTAGGGAAGATTTCTTAAAAATACAAAAAGCTATGTGGTAAGATCCAAGTAAATTCAACCCCACATGTCACATTATCCTTCCCAGTTTCTATTTTTTATTTCTATCTTTCACACTCACTCAAATTTCTTGATAGAAGGATGGTTCTTCCAGGGTGGTAACCTAGGCTTTTTTACTGCGTGGGTTCAAATCCCTTAAAACCTCTAAAATGAAGTGAATTAGATTCCAAGTCTCTTATGCAATTTAAATTTTTTAACTTGCCAATAAAAAAATTAAAGATATTAGAAGGTGGCAAATGTAGTACATAGTATTATAAGAAGATATTATATAAGGTTGCCAGAGAAACACTAGACATCCAGTTAAATTTGAATTTGAAGTACAGGACACCGAGATAAATATCAATGTTTAATATAAATATATCTTATGCAATATTTGATACAGATATATAATAAAAATATTCATTATTTATCTGAAATTCAAATTTAACTGAGTGTTGCATATTTTTGTTTGCAAAATCTGGCAACTCTACCTGTGTCCCTTCACTCATATTCCCCAAATGTCAGTATTTTACCATACTTGATTTATCATTATTTTCCCTTTACTATGGTTTGAATAAGTCCCCTAAAAGTTCATATGTTGGAAACTTATATCCCCAGTGCAACAGTATTGGGAGGTGGGACCTAAAAGAGGTGATTGAGTCACAAGGGCTCTGCCCTCATGAATGGATTAATGTCATTATCAAGGGAGAGAGTTAGTTATCTAGAGAGTGGGTTATTATAAAGCAAAGCTAGCTCCTAGTGCTTCTGTCTGTCACAAACACATGCTTCTTCTTTTTGTCTTCCACCATGGGATGGCACCAGCCAGATTCAAGAACTATGCACTTGGACTCCACAGTCTCCTAAACAGTGAGCCAAATAAACTGTTCTTTGTAAATTACCCATTCCCAGCCAGGTGCGGTGGCTCACACCTGTAATCTCAGCACTTTGGAAGGCCAAGGCAGGTGGATGACCTGAGGTCAGGAGGAGACCAGACTGGCCAACATGGCGAAATGCTGTCTCTACTGAAAGTACAAACAATTAGCTGGGCATGGTGGCGGGCACCTGTAATCCCAGCTACTCGGAAAGCTGAGGCAGGAGAATTGCTTGAACCCAGAAGGCAGAGGTTGCAGTGAGCTGAGACTGTGCCATTGCACTCCAGCCTGGGCAACAAGAGCAAAACTCTGCCTCAAAAAAAAAAAAAAAAATACCCATTTTGTGGTATTCTGTAATAGCAACAAAAAGGGTATGAAGATACTGTCTCAGAAAAATAAAAAATGAGTATAAGTAAATGTAATGTAAACATTAAGTAAACACAATGTCTCTTTACCTTGTATAAAAAAGACATTCTCTTACATAACCATAGTATAATTTTCACAATCAGGAAATTCATATTGATACAATCATATTATTTAATCTATGGCCCCTTTTTAGGCTTCCTCACCAAAATACTTTTTCCCAGATTAGATTCAGGGTCACATATTTTGTTGAGATGCCAAGTTTCTTTTTGTCCCCTTCAGCCTGGCAGTGTCTCACATTTCCTTTGGCTTTCATGACCTTAGCAGTTTTAAAGATTATGGGCTGAATGGTATTCCATTGTGTATATGTACCACATTTTCTTTATCTAGTCTATCATTGATAGGCATTTAGGTGAATGTCATGTCTTTGCTATTGTGATTAGAGCTGCAGTGGATGTAAGTGGCATGTATCCTTATGGTAGAATGATTTACATTTGTTTGGGTATATACCCAATAATGAGATTGCTGGGTCAAATGGTAATTCTGTTTTACATTCAGATATGGCCACACTGCTTTCCACAGTCACGGAACTAATTTACATTCTTGCCAGCAGCATGTCAGTGTTCCTTTTTCTCCACAATCTCACCAGCATCTGTTATTTTTTGACTTTTTAATAGTAGCCATTCTGATTGGTGTTTGATGGTATCTCATTGTGGTTTTGATTTGCATTTCTCTACTGATCAGTGATGTTGAGCTTTTTTTCATGATTGTTGGCTACATATATGTGTTCTTTTGAAAAGTGTCTGTTTGTCCACTTTCTTATGGGGTTGTTTGTTTTTTCTTGTAAACTTGTATAAATTCCATATAGATGCTTCATATTAGACCCATATACACAATGGAATACTGTGCAATCATAAAAAAGAATGAGACCATGTCCTTTGCAGGGACATAGATGGAGCTGGAGGCCACCATCCTTAACAAACTAATACAGGAACAGATAACCTATACTGCATGTTTTCACTTATAAGTAGGAGCCGAAGGATGGGAACACATGGACATATAGAGGGGAACAATGCACACTGGGGCCTTTAAGAGGGCAGAGGTTGGGAGGAGGGAGAGAATCAGGAAATATAATTAATGGGTACTAGGCTCACTACCTGGGTGATGAAATAATCTGTACAAAAGCCTTCATGACACAAGTTTACCTATGTAACAAACCTGCACTTGCATCGCTGAACTTAAAAAAAAAAAAAGATTATGGGCCAGTGATTTAGTAAACTCCTCCCCGATTTAGGTTTGCCTGATGTTTCCACATGGTTATATTAAAATTACACATTTTTGGCAAGAATCCTACAAAAATGATGTTCTATCTTTCTCAGTGCATCATATCGGGATACCTCACTTTTTAATAATAATGGGAATGATAATAGAAAACACAAGTTTATCACAGCACCAGAATGATCTCTATCATATTTAGAAACATAAACAAATACTCATCCCCTAGTAAAGCTCTCCAAGGACAATGATATTGTCATGACCCAAACATTTATATAATCTAAACTCACTTGCCAAAGATCAAGCAGAGATTCCATTCCACCTGAGGCAAGTTGGGTAGATGAAGTGAACCTTGGTTTCTCTAGGGTGCTGGTCAGCCTATGGCATTTATTCCTGACATGTGAATTTAAACTTAGTTTGTAGAAACTTCTATTCAAGAGATTAATTGGGCCAGGCATGGTGGGTCATACTTGTAATTGCAGCATTTGGGGAGGCAGAGGTGGGAAGATCACTGGAGCCCAGGAGTTTGAGGCTGCAAAGAGCCATGATTGGGCCACTGCACTCCAGTCCGGGTGACAGAGAATAGATCTTATCTCAAAAAATAAATAAACAAAAATTTTTAAAAATTGAATACAGCATGAGCAAGTAAAATGATTAATTACAGTTTTACATGAGCTCTATAACAAAACACACACACACAAAATAGCCGTCTACCTATACACAGTGTTCACTATTTCCTTACTCATTTAAAGACATTCACAATTGCCTGATCTTCTTTGAGTTGCCTTTCTTTCTTGTCCAGGACATTCCAGATTCTGTATTTCCTTTTTTCTGGAAGCCTGAGTTTTTGACACCAAATTAGAACAGAGTATGGGCTATACCTGCTGACATAGTCTCCACTATTGCTTGTAAGCAGGCATTTTTAGTCTGGTGCTAAAGTGTTACTGCCACTATCTCCTGCTAAGGCATTGCCTCAGCTTATAAAGCCTCCCTCCCAGGAAAGTTTCCACTTTATTCTCACATTAGAGCTTCCTAAAGGATCACCCTCAACAGATTCTGTTGATGCTTCTAATATTTATACCCCTGGTGACATCATGAAAGTGAATACCTTTGTCATGTTTTATTTTTTAGTACCTTGACCTTCTTCAACTTTTAAATGTCCTGGCCCTGAATAACTTATGCTGCATCAATGGTTGCTGGGACATGTCCAATATTTGTCCACAGTAGTGGGATATGGGTATGTTCTAGTGGTTTTTTTTTTCCCTCTGGTAGTCTTCTGTCATTTTCTATAACTTCAGTGAAGATTCTCACATTCTATCCTTCCTTCTTCTTTCTCTCCCACATACAGAGCTGGTAGTGATGGCTGGATTTGAGGGTCTTTCTTCCTTCTTGATTTTGTTTTGCTTTCTGGCCCTCATTTTAAAATTATTTGTATTTGTTAGTAACTGATTTCTTTAGCTTTAACTTGTGTCCTGTTTTATCCTCTTTTTTTTTTTTGAGGGTAGGGGAGAGAGTTTCACTCTGTTGCCCGGGCTAGAGTGCAGTGGCACAATCTCAGCTCACTGCAACTTCTGCCTCCCAGGTTCAAGCAATTCTCATGCCTCAGCCTCCTGAGTAGCTGGGATTACAGGCATGCACAACTACTCCCAGCTAATTTTTGTATTTTAGTAGAGATGGGGTTTCACCATGTTGGCCAGGCTGGTTTTGAACTCCTGGCCTCAATCCACCCACCTCAGACTCACAAAGTGCTGGGATTACAGTCGTGAGCCACCATGCCCTGCTATCTTATCCTCTATTTTGAAGAGATGAGATATTGATAATTTGAGGTCTGCCAAAAGAATTTACTGTTTTTAAAAAAATGACTCCAAATTCAAATTTCTGAGTAGGAAAAACTCAGATAGGAAATCATTCTCCTTGGATGAAAACAACGTCAAATAACCTAGATTTAACATGGCCAGTTCCTGTCCAGTCTGGCTCTCATTTAGTATATCTCATTCTTCGGCATTTCTATAGAGTTCCAACTCCATAAATTTCTTAAACTTATTTCTTCAGTATGCAAAAATATCTTCATTTTTTCTTCTGATAACTATATCAACTTGGTTGTCACCTATAGAACCTGAAATCACCTATAATGATCATCTTGTTATTTCACTCTCAAATCCCACCATTTTCTTCCTTTTTTTTTTTTTTTTTTCTGAGACAGAGTCTCGCTGTGTCACCCATGCTGGAGTGGTGGCACAGTCTCGGCTCACTGCAACCTCTGCCTCCCAGGTTCAAGTGATTCTCCTGACTCAGCCTCCTGAGTAGCTGGAATTACAGGTGCGTGCCATCACACCTGGCTAATTTTTGTGTTTTTAATAGAGATGGGGTTTTGCCATTTTGGCCATGCTGGTTTTGAACTCCTGACCTCAGGTAATCCGCCTGCCTCGGCCTCCCAAAATGGTGGGATTACAGGCATGAGCCACCATGCCCGGCCCCTTTTTCTCAATTCCTTTTAACTATTCTTCAAAGAATGGTTACAATGGCTGCTATTGTAGCTTCTATCTACAACTTTGAGAGGATCCCTCTGAATGTTTTATCTAGAACTTCTTGGGGAGCCATTTCTGTCTCTCATTGAGATATTGTCCCTCTTGAGCTGTTAGATTTAGTTTGATCATATCCATCCTTTCTTATC
Organism: Homo sapiens; assembly: GCF_000001405.40. Classification (NCBI taxonomy): domain Eukaryota; kingdom Metazoa; phylum Chordata; class Mammalia; order Primates; family Hominidae; genus Homo; species Homo sapiens. Next base: position 41,517,055 of record NC_000011.10, read on the forward strand.
TAATGACAACTATGGCCACACTTTTTCTAGTCTTCCTTTTAAAAGCAATTCAATCTAGGTGCATCTCTTTGCCCTTTCAAATGTGTCTAGTCTGGCCTCCAAGATCTAATATGCTGTGTATATCTCTATTTAGTCTACTTGTTAATATTTCTCCTAATGAAATAAGTCTTTATTTCAGCTTAATTACATCACATGTTTTTGTTTTTGTCTTATTATCCAATTGTTTTGATTTTGGTGCTTAGAGTGACATTTAGATGTCTTTCCTTGGTGATCTAGTTTCTTCTTAATTTCCTGAGCAAAACCAAGTTTTCAAGAGACCTTTCCAATGACAGGCCTTTCCAACCTTTATTAGTTGATTAGACATTGGATTTGGAATAAAAATATAGCTGCTTTTTAGGTTCAAACCGAAAACTCCAGTAGCCTGTCTAGGACTCTGATATTTTAGCTCATATTCAAAGACCATTCAATTAAACTCTTTGGAGCCAATTTGAAACTATTTGGTGAGGACTTAATCCTTGATTTATGACAAACCTCAGGAATCAAAGAGCTTAGCCCCGCTCCAGTTCTTTTCATTGGCTCTAAGTGCTATACAAAATAGAAAGAAACAGCACTTGTGACATGGGATCTAGATTTGCCTACCATGCCTGGCAGGAACAACACACTGGTGCTTTGTGGAAGCCAGCTCCCTTTTTTAGTATCTTATTCCAGCCTGCAGACACAGCCACCACAACAAATATTGTTCAGTCTTTCTTCATACTAAGAGGCCAAACCAGGAGATCTATACATTAAAATTCTGCCAGTCTGAAATTGTTTTGACAAATAGTGAAAGTCTTGCTCATCTCCTCATTCCAATCTTGAACTTCAGTTGCTAAGATAAAACCTGTTCCTGTGCAAGTCCATTAGTGTAACCTACAGCAGCTTGTTCTTCAATGCTTTGCTGCTTCTCACTAAGGACCGGGAAGCCTAGTTTCCCAATAAAACTATCTCTGCATCTGTAAAAACTGGACACAATTAGCAGCTGTTAGTTCTCACAGTGGGTGGTCTTGTACCATCTATGCCTAAGGCCTAAAACTAAAACCACCAATGTAGGTCATATCTGTCATCTTGAAAAATCTGTGCTGTGTTGCTACCAAAATGCCAGTTTCTCGAGGCTGCAGACTAAGGTCCAAGTTGGTGAGTTTTCATTTCTTTCCTCCTGAATTGGGATTGATTGAGAGTTAGGACAGCTAGAACGATGCTAAAATGTGAAAAATGCCAGCTGTATGACTGTTAAAGCTGAATAGAGGTATGCTTAGATATGTAGACACAGTGAACTTTCTCATGCTTCACCCTAAAGTTTTGAGCCTAACCTACTTGTCCTTAGCACCAGAGGATAGCCTCCTGCTTTTCTAAAAGGCAGATCCCACGGAAGTGCGTTGACTTCCAAGATGAACACCTTCTCAGAAGAAAAGCAGATACAAAGGGAAGAGCCAGAGGAGGCTAAACGAAGCTTGCTTAGTTCTTGCTCCAAATTCACCGATCAGATAAGTTGCATCTTCTTTAGGGAAGAACTGGGGAGTAGGAGGAAGTAAAGAGGGGCCAGGAATATTCTCACAATGTTCTCTCCTATGGCATGTATCTCTCACATGTATAGAAACCAGTCTTTAGGAAATACAACTTTTTTCCTCCAACAAACATCTCTTAATATTGTGACAGTAAAATGAAAAATATTAGCAGGGAATAATTTTTCCCCTTGTAACTCCCCTTCCCAATTTTGGGCCTGTTTTCAAGGTAAGTAAAGTAAAACCACCAGTTTCTGCACTTATTCTTCCCCTCCTGAAGATTAGTCAGACTCCTGGTTGCTGAGTGTTTAGGAACAAACTGGATTTAAAGCTAAGCTTCAAGAATTGGCTGGGATTCTTCCTTTCTCTACCTTTGTCTGACTGTTCTACATTCTCATTCTCCTCTCCTCCATGGAATGGGCTCTTAGTTTGAAGTGAGTTCCATTTTGTTGGAGTGTAATTGTAGGTACCGTTGGCTGCATCTAAATCACATTCTTCAACACTTGACTGGCCATGAAGGTGGTATTTTCATCTTCATCTGTGATTTCCATGCATCAGTCTCTCAATTGCTGCTGAAGGTGAGGAAAAGAGGGGTTATAGTTTATCGGAACCCTTAAGCCTCAACAATAATAGAAAGAAAATATGTAGCATTGCTTGGCACAGGGCAGGCAATTAATACATCTGAGTTATCTCACATTTTAAGGTGAAACATCTACTATACAGATTCACAGGCCACTTTTTCTTCTAGAGCCCCCTAACATATGATTTAAAGATTACTCAATTCTATGAAAATCAAGGAATTTTCTACTTCTGTTGTATTTAATTTCTTCAGGCTAAAATAACACATAAATTATCTTCTGACAAACTCCTTGAGTGTTCTTTTTCATAGCTCTCTGTACATCTACATAATCTGGGCCTGACTGATGATAAGCTTGGTGTCAATTCTCACCTCTCCAAACAGGCCTTGATGAAAGAGAATGAAGAATAACTGGACAGTATGGGTGCACTTAATTTCTGTGAGTCCAAAGGCAATTAATGGAACCATGGACACACCAAACAAGGGGGATGTTTGTTATAAAATGGGTCAAATTTGTTTTCTATTATGAGTCTGCATTGTGTAAGCTGGGGCTGTTGTTACTTCTGTATTCTTTTTAGAAAGCTCCTCTTGTTCCTGCTGTGATGAAACAGGAATGTCTGTTTTTTTTTTCCTGAAAACAGATGGCCTTTCAGCCAAGAGATATAACACAATGTACATCTCAATTGCTGTTTTCCCAATATGCAGCCTCCATCCTTCCCTGGACAATCCCAGACCATTCTTTAATAACACCCTTCATGTATAAGATGAGTCATTGTATGGAAACTCTGCTTCTGAATACGGCTGAACAAGAGGAAATAGCTCTAAATTATGCCAAATCTATGCAGGTTAGACATTAATAAGAACTCTCAAATAATAAAATGCTTATGGAACATGGATAAATGTTATAACAGTATAGGACTATCCGGGTTACTTTCAGAAGTGAATTGGAGAAAATTTTAGAAGTGAATTGAAGAAAATTTTAGAAATGAATTGAAGAAAATACAGAAGAAAATAACTGTATAGAAGAGTGTTAGTCCTGAACGGGGCAACTATCTGGCCTACGTGTCTCCATCCCCCAGTTCCCTAATCATGATAGACTTCACTAATTGATCTTGGAACTTCCGCTTTGCTCAGGCATGGCGACAGGATTACTCTCAATGTGTACTTCAATCAGACATTACCAATACATCAGAGTAGGCACATGAGATGAAAACTTTGTGCCTGCAGAGAGGTCTCTGAAGACTCAGATATGGACACTGGCATTTAGTATTTTATTAACAAATATGCTTTCCTTTGATATAATAAAGCACAGTTACAAAACTCCATTGTCCTTTTAGTATAATGCATTTTAAGAAAGCTGAACTATTAATAATAAAGTTTTTAAAGATGTTAAACCCTAGGATCTCTGGACTAATGTAGTTACACATTATACCCTGGTTGGGGAAAGGGAAGAAGAAGAAAAGAAACAGGAGCAAAAATTAAAAATAAAAATAAAAACCTTCAGCAGATGGAAAAAGAATTTCTATATAATGCATAAAATATTCTCACCTGCTGCCCTTTTAAATATTTAGTAGAAAGGAGGTGCAACCCCTTTTGAAAGGGATTTTAGAGAAAAATGCAAAGAAACAGATGAGAGGTGATTTCAATTAGACATATACTAATCATTGATTATCATGACTAAGAATAAGTATAAACTTAATAAAACTTAACAGAGAGAATGCAAAATTCACTGACATAATTTTAGGAGATATCCCAGTTTAAATTGGCACTACTCTAGAGAGAATACTGGAATGGGTACATTGACTTTCTAGTTTTATTCTCTTCCAAAGTAATCACAAACTAAACAGGATTCATGGCATCATATAGCCAAACAATAGTTGCTTGCAAGTTAGCTCACTTCTTTCATCCCTGACAAGTTCTAAGATTATAAGCCACTGGAATACAGAGATCCTAGTTAAAGTAATCAGAAAACATAAATCTAAAGATTTTCATACATGGAACACACGGGTCAAGGAGGCATGAAACAAAGTGGCCAGCCTTCGTGTTATTATTGTCCCATAGCTTCAAAGCTGAAACACCTGTGAAAAAAATGGTGAATGAAGAAAAATATTGATGTGCAATTTTTTGCATAGATTAGTGAAACAGACCTAAAGACTGACCACATTTAAGGTACATAAACCATTGTATTACATTCCCACACATTTTGTCCTATGTTTTAGTTTCTATTACAAAAACCTGTATTCATGCTTACACATGCATGTAGCTCTCCGTAGTTTTCTAATAGTATCACATATTGTAAGTCCCATGAGTTTTGAGTCACGAAAACATGGTTTGGAGGCCAATTTTGTCATGTTTTTGGTGTGTGATTTTTGGAAAATTAACTAAGTTTTATGTATCTTACTCAGAAGTTTTTTATGACAATTATATTCCACACTCTTATGAAAATGCTTAGTGGATAATTAAGTAGTGATTTAAGAAAATTATTTCCACTGCTGTATAGTAAAAAAAAAAATTAAAAATCCAGATCAAGTAAATTGACTCAATTTCATTGGTAGTTTTTATTTAATTTTTTTAATACAGTTACCAAATCAGTGAGTGGCTGTCCATAACTCAAAGTTTCAGCTGGTGACAGCCACTGGCAGTTAAGAGCATCTCTACAAAAAGAAAAAAAAAAAAAAAAAGACACTGTGATGACTTTCAGATTGACCTTGGGTAAGGCAATAAGGAATTTATTTGCCAGTACCTGTTAATGGTATTAGCAGTACATCACAGTGAATGAGAGCAGAGATTAGGAAGCTAGAGAGCCTGAGTTCAAATCTGAGCTCTCCCACTTACTAGATATGCAACTTTGAACGATTTACTTAACTGCTCTGTGAAATAAATTTCTTATATGCAAAATGGAAGAAATTATAAATTTCTGCCTTTTAGGGATGTTCTGAGGAATAAATAATTTAATGAATGAAAGTCCTCAGGGCTTGTCTGACATGAAGTTAACACCATGTTAGCTTCTAATATTATGTCTACCTAGTTGGTTTATCTGAGCATATAAAATTCATTCAGGGTAAATACAGTCCCTTCCTTACCATAAAATGTGCTGTACAATTCCCTGGCAATGGATGTACTCAGTAGATTATGACAAGTAGAAGGTTAAGTTCCCTGTTATTTATTTTCATATAAATAGGAATATCTGTATTCGAGGCAGACATAACACTTTTTCTTCTCCAAAGAAAAGGCCAAATTTCTGTGTTTTGATAGAAAAAGAAGAGAAAGAGATTGAAATTCTGGCAAATGAACCTGGAATGTAAATCCTTATCTCTCACTTAATTACATTATTCATAGGTATGTAGATGTGATCTTGCTTTCCTATTGCCTGACCACACAGTCTCAGCCTCTCAGTCTCTTTCTGACTCTTCCCACAGTCATGAATAGCATATTTTGTTGCAGCTGCACCCATATAAAAGGAATTTCATCCTGATTAGATATTGAACAATAAGGTGGTCAGACCTACATGCCAGTGACAGAGGACTGAGTCAGTAGAAAATCTCAGCAACAAGGAATTGTCCCCAGAAGCCTCTCCATTCCAAAAACTGACAGAGACATTTGTAAACCTGCCCAAAGATTATAAGTTGAGAACCCAAAGAAATTACTGTAATTTGAATATATAAATATCATTAATATATAACAATGATTTATATCATTAAGAAATTCAGGAAGCTAAGTTTGTTATAAATAATACTGGGTTTCTGAGACCTGCTTTTGCCATGAGACAGAAAAAATTGAGCTCACTGCTCATTGGTCAAACAAGCATAAAATAAATTACTGAAACCTGAGGATTTCAGGTGTTAGGTTATGCAAAATGAGGACTTGTGACTAAGCACAATTGTGTTTTCCCTCCCCAAAGTGCTTGGCAATCCTGACCTATAAATCTCTCTAATAGCCCCTGGAGGGAGATTGTGGCATTATCCCATTTTATGGGTCAGGACTCTATAAAATGCAGGCCTGTGAATCTGCCCAAGGCTAGAGAAAAATTTGTTTTAGAGTTTTTCATAAGGCTTAAGCGGTTGTGCTGAAGTAGAAAGAAAGGTGGACTTGGAGCCTGTTTATGTTACAAACTTGGTTAAATCTCTTAATTCAGTTTTAGCCCCAGTTTCTTCAACTGATACATAGTTTGTGTATTTTAATCCTGTCTCCAAGGGAATGCTTCACCATTGAGAACAGAGGAGCCATAAGATTGATTGACCATGTCTAAAATTGCAGCTAGTTTTGCTCCTGATAATTTAAATTATTCCACATTCTCGACTTCATAGTCATACCTTTCATCTCCCTTACCAACTACTCTTGTTCATGCCTGGGCTATCAGTCTATTAACTCATTGCTGTCCTGCCTGCAAACTTTCAGTGGCTCACAAAACCAATTTTTACATTCATTGAACCAGGACTTTTATGTTCTCTACTGTGTGGCATAAAAAGATTATAACAGCAACATGCACATTGATTGATTGATTCATTCATTTTTTCAAGCAATAATTATTTCTTCATGTTCCAGCCACTTTCTGGGCACTGGAGATTCAACAGCGAACAAAGCAGACAAAATTCCCTGCCCTCGTGGAGCTATGTCCTGGTTGGGGCAGACAAATGGTATATAAAATGAATAAAATATATAGCAGGGTAGACAGTAAAATGATTAAGGAGAAATGTAAAAACAAATAGAAAAGAGATATATGAGGTCATGTAAAGATTGTTAATATTTTAGACAAGTTAGCCACAGGTGACCTCAAGAAGCAGGTAGCATTTTAGCAAAGACCTAAGGTAAGGTAAATAGGTTGCTATTTTGTATCATGAACTTAAAATACCAAACAACCCTGTGAAGTCAGTATTATTTTCCTATTTTACAGTTAAGGAAACTGAGTCTAGTAAAGTCTAAGGTTGCCAGACTTATCACATAATAGTATAGGATTCCTAGGTAAATTTGAATTTATAGATTATATCCCATTCAACATTTGGGACATTTATACTAAGTTTTAAAAAAAAGTGTTTATCTGAAATTCAAATTCAACTGGGAGTCACTTCTTTTACCTGGCAAGCTTAGTTAAGTCTAGTGTTAACTTAGTCTAGCTCAACTAATACAAGTTAAGCCTAATTTATATAGCTCATCACTTATGAGGCTACTAAATTAACTTGGTGTTAACTCTAAAGCCTACACACACGTCCATGCTCTCACAAAGCTGATGATTAATCAAGGAAACACATTTATCATGAAAAGACAAATTGTCCTATAAGGAGATGTTCATTGCAGATTTGGAAGCTATATGACCACAGTGCACTGTGTGTGTTTTGAGGAGTGGGGTAGAAGGGAAAGATCTTGAGGATGCTATTGAGAATACACATGGCAAAGACCAAATGCACAGAGGTGTAGATGACAAGTGTTTCCATGTATTCAGACATAGGGAGCATAGAGAGGTGCAGTTTGAGCAGACACTTAAAAGGCAGAATAGGCTCAATTTGTAGTCTTCAAATACCCTGATAAAAGCATGGAATTGCACCCTGAGGACAAGTTATAATCACTTAGGTCTTTGAGCAGATAAATTTTCTATTTTTAAGAAATCTTTGAAATAGTATGATAACTGAATCACCTTTATTAAAAATAGATTGAGCAGCTACTACCAAACATTTTTTTTAGTGTCAGATTCCTTTCTGTAAGATAATGAAATCACTCTACCTTTCTCTTGGGGATTTTATTATTATTATGATTTTAATAAAGTGCCATGACCTTCTTTTAAATACCCAGTATTCTCCATTGCATTTACAAAAACAAAGTTTCATATAATGAAGTCCTCAAATGGCTTCATTTCTAAAAAATCACAGAAATGAAGCAATGGTCTTGGATTATTAAACACATGTGTCACCAGAGGTGTTACTCCATGTCTTTCCTTAATGCCATGAAAAATAAAATGGAAAATGAACTGGAAGATTTTACAGGGTCTTTCTATCTTTCCCAATCAAGAAAAAGTAACAAATATTCAAAATAGACTTAAGCAAAACAAGGAACATTCTTTTTTTCAGTAGGAACATTTTGAAATTCATATTAAATTTGTAAGACTCTCACTAAAGTACTAAATTGAAAAGAAGCTCTAACTTCCCAGGTGCTTCATTTGTGGGGATACCTCCATTTATGAGAATTGTACTCATGTTCTGTTGGAAGTGAATAGAGATTGATTCATGTTATCACTTTCAGAAATGCCAAGTTGAATATTCCAGAAAATAAGAGTTTAAGAACTCCCAAGTAGATAGACTCACATTTTGAGTTGGTGTCTGACATAGCTATGAAATCAAAGGATCTAGATTCCAGTTCATGTGAGGATTTGATGTGCAAATATATGCATTTTCTATTTTAAACAAACAGTCTAATTTAAAAATGGGCAAAAGACCATGAAGAGACATTTCATGAGGAGAATGTACAGATGCCAAATAAGCACACAAGAAGACATTCAACAGCATTAACCATGAGAAGAATGTAAATAAAAACCACAATGAGATATCAATTCATACCTTTAAGAATGGCTGAAAAACAAAACAAAATAAACCTGACAATACAAAATTCTGGCAAGGATGTGGATAAACTATATCAGTCATACATTGTTGGCAGAAACGTAAAATGGTACCGCCTCTCTGGAACACTGATGAACGGTTTCCTTAAAAACAAATCAAACAACTACCTTAAAACTCAACAATTGCACTCCTGGGCATTATCCCAGAGATACAAACAATTATGTTCACACAATAATTATGCTGGGTGCTCACAGCAGTTTTTTCTTCTTTATTTTAAGTTGAGGGGTACAAGTGCAGGTTTCTTATATAGGTAAATTGTATGTCGTGAGGGTTTAGCGTGCAGATTATTTCATCACTCATGTAAAAAGCATAGTACCTGATAGGCAGATTTTCAATCCTCATCATCTTCCCAACCTCCACCCTCTAGTAGGCCCCAGTCTGTTTCTCCCTTCTTTGTGTCCCTATGCAGTTGATGTTTAGCTCCCACTTACAAATAAGAAGATGCACTATTTGGTTTTCTGTTCTGGTGTTAGTTTGCTTAGGGTAATGGCCTTCAGCTCCATCCATGTTGCTGCAAAGAACGTGATCATGTTCATTTTAATGAACTGCATAGTGTTCCATGGTGTCTACGTACCACACATTTTTTTAATACCATGGCTGCATAGTATTCCATGGTGTCTATGTAGCACATTTTTAAAAAATCCAGTCTACTATTGGTAGAAATGTAGGTTGATTCCATATCTTTGCTATTGCAGATAGTGCTGCGATGAACATATGTGTGCGCATGTCTTTATGGGAGAATGATTTATATTCCTTTGGGTATATAGCCAATAATGAGATTGCTGGATCGATTGGTAATTCTGTTTTGAGTTATTTCAGAAATTGCCAAACTGCTTTCCACATGGCTGAACTAATTTGCACTCCCACCAGCAGTGTATAAGTATTCCCTTTTCTCTGTAATCTTGTCAGCATCTGTTTTTTTTTTTTTTTTTTTTTTTTTTGAGACGGAGTCTCACTGTCGCCCAGGCTGGAGTGCAGTGGCGAGATCTCCACTCACTGCAGGCTCCGCCCCCCGGGTTCATGCCATTCTCCACCTCAGCCTCCCCAGCAGCTGGGACTACAAGCACCTGCCACCACCCCCGGCTAATTTTTTGTATTTTTAGTAGAGATGGGGTTTCACCGTGTTAGCCAGGATGGTCTCGATCTCCTGACCTCATGATCCACCCACCTCGGCCTCCCAAAATGCTGGGATTACAGGCGTGAGCCACCACACCCAGCCAGCATCTGTTATTTTTAACTTTTTAATAATAACCATTCTGACTGGTGTGAGTTGGTACTCCATTGTGCTTTTAATTTGCATTTCTCTAATGGTTACTGATATTGAGCGTTTTTTCATATGCTTGTTGGCAAATATTTTCTTCCATTCTGCAGGTTGTCTGATCACTCTGTTGATAGTTTCTTTTTTTACAGCAGTTTTATACATAAATAGCCAAAAACTAGAAAAAGCTCAGATGTTTTTCAATGGTTAAAACATGGAGTGGCTGAACAAACTGTGAATGGTCATGGTTAAACAAATTGTAGTATATGCATACCATGGAATACTACTCTGAAAGAAAAAGGAACAAACTATTGACATACCCAACAATTTAGATGAATCTCCAGATAATTATTGAATGAAAAAAGTCAATCCCAAAAGTTTATCTGCTGCAAAATTCCATTTAAATATTGTTCTTTTAAGTGACAAAATTACAAAAATTGAGAACAGATTGGTTCTAACATTAGCGTTTCATGACTAATGCTTAAGAAGTTCATCTAATTCAAAAGAACTTCTCCCTTTTAATCATTTTTTGCTTATTTTAAAAGTCAATAAGTTAGCGTCACCATCTCTTCTGTGGTAAGACAGAAGAGGTAGCGTGAGTGGAGTACAAATGTATGGGACTCAATGTCCAGGGGTATTGCTGCTTAGTTCACCTCCCATGTGACACTGGGCAAGACATTTAAAATTGCTGACTATCAGTATTCTCACTAAAAATGCTGAAAAATAATATGATTCAAAAGATCCGTTCTCATCCCAATATTTTATGACTCCATGAAAAAACAGATTTCTTAATAATCTTTTTCTTATATTCTCTGCAGTCAATCATTTTTCAACAAGATGTCTTTGCCAAACTCAGAGGTATAAATGTATATGAGTCTCTGTCAAATCCTCATTTCATTTACAATTTATCTTCATATATTAGCATGATCAAAAGCTTGCATGAGATTTTGTTCATTTAATTTTCTTTAAAAAAATTTCTACCATCTTTTTTACTCTTTTTTAAACTAATCTCTAAATTAGAATTTAAAGAGAGAGAGACTGTAGAAGAGATGCTGTTTCCATTGTTAGAAATTATATTAGGGTTCCCTCAATTTGGCTCACTTTTCACTTTGAAAGTCTTGCACAAGCAACCTGGAACATTTTTCTTCACTTCCATCCACACCATGCCAATCTAAAAAACAAAAACAAAAAAAACCAAATGCTCTTTATTTATTGCAGCTGCATTATGCTATTTGCAACATGACAACCTATTTAAAAGAAATAGAACTCGCGCCCTGTGTAGGAGTATTTTGTTTTTACCTTTAAAAGGCTTGTAGTCAGGCTGTCAGTAAAAGAAAATCCAATCTCATTTTCATCTAGTATGCACTGCAGAAACATTACTCCGATATGAACCAGAGCTTGAAAATGGAGAAGCAATTGTTGTTGCTAATCAGAAACAAATATCACACAGAGACAATTGCTTTTTTTCCTGCACAAACAATATGCTTGCCGATTAAATTCATTAAATTCAGGCACACTATTGACACAATCTGATCAGAAGCTCTAAGCCACAGATGCTCAGAAATGCTGACTTGTGTCACAAAAGAAAATAGTTACTATCTACTTCCCTCTGAAGCAAGAGGAAGATGTAAAATGAAAGCAGCAGCTATTTACAAAGCACACTGTAATTGCCAGCATTTATTGAACACTTATTATGTGCCAAGCACTGTGATAAGTGTTTGACTTATTTTATTTCCTTTTTCCCCCTCAAAACAAAGATGTGTATCTGTTATGTCAATTTCTTTGATGGCATTCAATAACATATACAAGCTCATACTATGACTAAATAACATACTATAAATAAATAACTGCGTTGGATGTCAAAGACTATATCACCTCTCTAAGTACATGTGGCTTAGGACAAAACTGAGAATAGCCAGCTCATCTATTCTTTCAATCATCTATTTTTTCCTATAGATATTTGTTGAGCACCTATTATGTTCGATACATCATTTCAGAATATTGGGATAGATTACTGAAAAAAAGAAATAATAATAATTTCTGCCATTTTGGTGCCTGCATTATAGAGAAGGGAGATAAAGATGAAGTAATCCATATGCATATTTAAGTTTTAATAGTAAGATATATACCATGTTAGAAAATTACAAGCGATATGGGAGGAAAAAGCAGAGCAAGAGAATTGGTATATGAGGGTACATGTGTGTGGTGGGTGGAGGCTGAACATAATTCTACATTGAGTAAACAGAAGAAGCCCCACAGTAATGAAAACATTTAAGCAAATATTGGAAGAAGGCAAGGGAATTTGATAAGTGGAAAATTGGAGGAAGAGTGCTTAAAAGAAGGAGAGCAGCTCATACGAAGACAATAAGCCAGGGGGATGTTTTGTATGTCTGAACAATGGTGAAGAGCCAGATATATTTGGAGGAAAATGGATGGAGGGAATAAATAGTTGAGCTTGGAAAAGTAACAACTTTGTAGGCTAATGGAAGGCATTTGTGTTGTCCTTTGCATGAGATAGAAGGCACTGGAAGGATTGGAGCAAAGAAATACTATACTATTTACTAACTTATTTTTAGACAGACCCCCTCTGGCTGCTATACTGAGAATACAGTGTAAAGGACCAAAGTGGAAATATTATTTTCAGAGACCTGTTGGAAGGCTCACATGGAGTAACAAGAAGTGTTAAAAATTCTGGATATATTGTAAAGGTAGATAATCTCCAATGAGACCAGATGTAGAGTTTGAGAGCAGATAAGTAAAATCCAAGAGCATCCAAGATTTTTGGTATCAGAAACTAGAAGGAAAGAACATTTATAACTGAGTTGGTGGGGTCTGCAGATAGAGTTTAATTTGGGAGGAAGATCAGAAGTTGGACATGTTAACTTTGAGATGTTCTCTATGCATCCACTTGGTGATGTTGAACAGGCCGTCGTATCTACCAGCCTGTAGTTGAGAATCTCAGTGTGTTTTGGAGGTGTAACTCTGGTAGACTGGCAAATAGCGTGGAGATCAGATGAGATTATCAAGGGAATGAGTATAGACTGAGAACACAACAGGATTAAAGACTGATCTCTGGGGTAGATAACTGTAAGAGTCCAGGAAAAGCAGGAAGAACCAACAAAGGAAGATTAGGAAGGAGTGACAAGTGAGACAAGAAAAGCCAAGAACATAAGGTTCTGAAAGACAAATGAGTAGAGTGTTTCAAGAAGGAAGTAGGGACTACGATTTTTCAAATGCTACTGTACTTAAACAGGATGAAGATTGAGAAGGGCCCATTGCCTTTACCGCATAGCAACTTTCCAACACTTTCATTGAAAGTGATGGAAACCTGAGTTAGTAGGTTTAAAAGAAAATGAGAAGAGAGGTATCAGCAGCAGACAAAATGGACTTTTCTTTAAGGATATGAGCTGCAAAGAGAAGAGAGGAAATGGTACATAAGCTGAGGGGTGGGGGGAAATGGCATAATATTTTTCTTTCTTCAAAAGGGAAAAAATAGTGTGTTTGATTATGGATGGGAATGGTGCCAGTAGAAAGGAAAACAATGCCTTACACATGAGAGAGGGAAGATAATTGTTTGATTTTTTTTCTTTTCTTTCTTTTTTTTTCTTTTTTTTTTTTTTTTTAGTAGGCAAGAAGAGATAGAATTCAGTGCACAAATAGAGAGATTGGTTTTTTGTTGTTGTTGTTTTGAAACAGAGTCTCGCTCTGTCACCCAAGCTGGAGTGCGGTGGCGCAATCTCGGCTCACTGCAACCTCCACCTCCCAGATTCAAGCAATTCTCCTGCCTCAGCCTTCTGAGTAGCTGGGATTACAGGCACGCACCACCATGCCCAGCTAATTTTTGTATTTTTAGTAGAGACAGGGTTTCATCATATTGGCCAGGCTAGTCTCAAACTCCTGACCTCGTGATCCACCCGCCTCAGCTTTCCAAAGTGCTGGGATTACAGGTGTGAGCCACCGCGCCCGGCCGAGAGATTGGTTTTTACTTAGCAGTGTAGATAGCTCGACTAGAGTAACAAAATTTTTATTTTGGTTGACTCCATAGGTGTGGCTGATGTGAGTGGAAACCATTCTCTGACTGCATCATTTTTCTCAGTGAAGTGAGAAACAAGGTCATCAGCAGAGTGTTGAGGTAGAAGAATGAAAGAGTGAATTGGTTAACAATTTATAGCATGATTTGGGCCTGCATTTTTGTTTGTCATCATCAATTTATATGGAACCTGCCAGTAAGATCAAGAGTTTTTGTTGCAGGTAGTAAACTGCATGGCCAGAGACACTGGGTAGGTGGGGAGTTGAATTTAACCAAGGTATGTTTTGTGAAAGAATATTAATAAATGAGAGAGAGGCAAGGGAATTGAAGAGGAATGCAAGAAGAAGGTAATTATAATGATTGACTGTTGAATTTAAGCTGGATAAGACAGTGAGAGCAAACCAGAGATTTAAGGGCCATGAAAAACTGTCACGATAGAAGAATGGATGTCCAGTAGGGTCTACTGTTTATTGAAATCACAGTAATAAAGTGATTGATCTGGAAAAAGAAAGGTAATCACTGTAATGTGAGCATGGTTCATATACAGTTGAAATTAATGAAGGATTGAATTTAAATTAGGTTGTGAATTAAAATGGCATAGACACCCAGATCATTAGAGGAGAGGAGCTCGAGGAATTGAGGCCAAGAAGGACTGGAAAGATTATTTTCATATACATCAAAATTGCCAAGAATTAAGAGTAGAGTTGTGATAGAGAAAGAAACATTGAATCAATAACCAATATCATTTATATATCAAGAGAAGTAACTCAAAGATTGATAAGCAAGAATACTAGTGAGGAGTGGTAAGTGGATGACATAAAATGGTGATATGAGATTTCAAGCTAGGGCTTTTACAGGAAAGCTCTGGAAGCTTATGTGGAAAGAAGGAAGATAGCTGCTCTTCCTCCAGGACTGGTGGTTGAGGAGTTGTGGGGTAAAAAAATAGCCACACTGAAGAGGATGACAGGGGAAAGATGAAGAAAATGCTCAGATAACAATCTGAGAATATAGGCAATTCTGCTGCTGATAGAGTGTTAATTCCGGAGGACACACTGAAAAAGTTTCAAAAACTGGATATCCAAGGATGATAGGGAATGTGTGAAGTTTATGGAGATTTAAATGTGGGAGAAAAAGGGCAATGTAAGAAATTGGTACTTCTTACTAGTTATTCTGAGAGCCCAGAACTCCCTTTGCCTCATCACACAGTGGGGTCATGTGTTTATGATGAGTTAACTGGGTTAGGTATTCTAATTTTAATGTGCATCTACCTTTTACACATTCTTCCCAGTTCTAACAAGTCTAAGATTTGGGGGGTATTGAAGTCCCTGTTTTTTTCTCATCTTGAATCAAGGTGAGAGGTAAGAGAGTCTAGAGATTGAAAGTTCTCCCTCCAGAAATAGGAGGGTATCTACAGATGTCTATGTGCGCAAAAAGAACGTTTGTGTGTGTGGTGTGTGGTGTTTGATGTGTGTGTGTGTGGTACGTGGTGTACGTGTGGGGTGTGTGTGTGTGTGTGTGTGGTATGTGACATGTGGTCTGTGTGTGGTGCGTATGTGGTGCATGTGTGGTGTATGTGGTGCGTGTGATATGTGTAGTGTGTGCGTGTGATATGTGTAGTGTGTGCATGTGGTGTGTGTAGTGTGTGTGGCATGTGTGTGCAGTATATGGTGTGTATGTGTAAATATATGTGTGATGTGTGTGGTATGTATGCATTTTGTGTGTGTGGTGTGTGTATTTGTAATCTGTATATGTTGTGGGTGTGTGTGTGTGTGTGTGTGTGTGTGTGTGTGTGTGTGTGTATGTGAATTCATGGAGAATAGAAAGCTAGAAAATGTATTCTCGCAAAACTATATTCTATTTCCGAAGTGATGAAGAGTTGAGTGAATGGAAAGACTCTCTTAATGAGACTACAAGCTTATGGTTTTTAGCCTGTAGCCAAATATAGCTGATAACGATGAATCTCCTCTCCACCCCTACTCCTGCCTTCTCTACTTCACAGATTCTCTTGTGAGACATAGACTGCAGACAGCAGTGGTTTATGTTCCTGTAAATCCCTGTCTTACTCTTTCTCTTCACTCAGAAAGTGTGTGAGAATGGCCTTCCAGCATGGCTAGTATTTCTTTTCTCTCTGCAAGAACTCTGCCACTTACTAAATCATTAGTCATTCTGGATATTGAAATACTGAAATTTCTAATTCCATATTTTTATATGTTATAAACTATAATCCCAGACATTTGCTCCCTTTGTATGCCCCTTATTAATAAATAGATTTAATTAAACCCACTGTCGAGCTTTCTGACAAGAACACCAAAGGATTTTCTCCAATATTCCCATTCACTTTCCAATTAAACTACACTTTCACTCTTTCATACTCCTTTTGGGCTCTTCGTTCCTTTCCATCCCTCAGCTATTACTACAATAACTTACAATATCTTTTCATCCTCTCCTGTAACTTGAATTTGCCATATTGCAACCTCAATGAGTGGAGCTGAAGTCTCTGAATTCTCTTGGCTTAGGAAACAAATCCTCTTCTGGAAGCATATGATAATGCATAAGGCAATACTAATGCTTCTAAAAAGTTGGCCTTTTGAAGGACTGCAGCCAATGGTTGGTACTTAAAATTAACAGTATCAGTGCAATAAAGAAAGTGTTCTTCTTGAAGGCCCAACATATGGATACAAAACCCACTTCTTTGAGTTAAAAACAGATAGCAGGATGTAAGAAGCATTGCAAAAACTATAACATGTCACATAAAAGTTAACTTATCTTTGCTTTCCGAGTCAGAAACTGTATATAGGGAATCAACCCACTTGCCTCCCACAATTTCTTCCCAGCTGCCACTACTGAAGCTATTCTTGTCCTCTCTGCATTGTACCCCCTGCTACTTCCTGTGTTACTCACCCAGGTAAGCAGGAGACCTGGAGCTCTTCCCAGGCTGGTTGTCAAGGAACCTTGCTTGACATACAAGTGTGTATGTTGGCATGTCTGTAGATGTCTGAAGGTCATGGAACAAAATAGAACTCCCAGTTTTGAATGAAAGAAGGCCCAGCACATAAGGCTCAGTTTGAAGTATAAATGTGTCCAAGACAAACAATTGGATTCAAAGTGCAGGGCTGACCCTACAGAATAGCCCTGATGACACAAACAGGTTCAGCAGGCAGACAATGAAATGATTCCCAGATGCAGTTGGATACAGGATTATAAATACACTCAAATTGAAGGCAGGAGGGATGCTAAGTTTGTTCAGTCAGGAAGGAGAAACCCACACCATTTTAAGTCCAGTTATACAAGAACTGCTGATCTAACCAGATGTGTCCCAGACACTGCACATCTTAAAGGATACTTGTCACAGGCGTGGAATACCAGATCTTTTGGATGGCTGGGAAGAAAATTAAAAAAAAAAACTGCCTTCCTATCCCTAAGAGAGAAACAAAATGATCTTTTCCCATCATTTGGAATAATGTGAAAACTGACTTAAAAGGTTTTTCTTTTAAACATTGCCACTCGTGTGATATAAATACATATGGTGTTTCATGGCACAGTGAAAATGAGGAATGGTGTTGGAGAGGATGCTCGTTTTCTGAAATGCATTCTGCACAAAGCTTTCAATCATGTGGCAAAGGAGAATTGCTGGTGGCTTCCTAAGCAGGACTCGTGGTGGGGCTCTTTGTGCCACTGATCTCCTTGTGCCATCTCTTCTCCTGTGGTTGAGTGAAACCCAGAGAAACTGACAGGGGCAGGAGCAGCTAATAGGGTTGAGTTAATGGGTTATCCTCCTCTAGCCCAGGTGTATGACATGTAAGTGTACCAAGATCAAAGATATTTTTAGATGCTTTATTTCCTCAGTCCAGGCAAGGCTTAGGGCAGCCAGATGCTGGGGACAACCCCATCTAGTTTTCTCAACGTGCCTGACAAATATTGCCATCTTTTGTGTGTGCTATGGCATGAAGAAAGGTGTGTCACATAGAGCTAATCACCAAGAGGGATTCAGGAATGCCTCCTAGTGATTCATTCAGAAGAATGAATCATTCATTCATTCTGCATTCATTCAGAAAGAATAAATTTCAGCATCTATTAGCAGGCAGCATGACAGGGTAGAAAGAATGTAGAATCTATAACAATGTTAATCTGGGTTTACAGCCAGATTCTACTAGCTAAGGGAAGTTTAATTTACCTATCACCCCTCCCCCCGAGTTCTGTTTTCTCATCTGTAAAATGGAGACAGGAACTTCCTTTCTGGGAAGCTTAGGATAGGGTGAAAAGTTAATTGCTTTGCTCCTGGTGCATAATAATGGCTCCCTGACGCCTAGCTCATTGACCTTGGCCAATGTGAATACTATTTCCTCACTTAAAAGCTGAAAGACATGTGATAAAAGGACTCTGAACTCAAAGTTTCTCACATTAAGATAAATAGTTTTAATCATGCCTGTGCCTTTCCTTAGTGTCAAACATTGCTTACTTCTATTTAAATAGTATTCAGTTTCTAGATCACAAGTAAATCAGCTCCTTCCTTCCTATACATGCCTCACTTCCATCCTCAGCCTCCAGTGAATTCTTCCTTCCCCTGTAACCCACTTGCTTAAGTACATTTTGTTTCTGTTTCCATGTTGCTCTGTATTAGAGTCACATGCCTGTCTTTATTAGGGGATTCAACCAGGTTTATTAAGTGGCCGTTTCTGATTAATCTTTGTACTACTGCTCCTCTTCCACCTTATTGTATGCATAATGATAATCATCTGTACTTAATATTAAAACTTATAACTTTCCAGAAAATGTTCTAAGTGATTTACTTAAAAGATATTATTTAATTCTCACAATGACTCAAAAAGATGAGTACTATTATGGATCATCCCAATATTACAAATGGGGAAATTGAGGCTGTTGGATTGCCCAGGCCATATAGCTAAGGAGTTGTGAAGTCAGCATTTGAGTGTAGGCAGTCTGCGTCCAGAAGTCAACCTCTTAACCATTATGCTGACGATACGACGTGTTGATTCAGAACACAGGCCACCTCTTCCCCTCTCTGTTAGACTGCAGCTGAGACTGAATAGACAAAATGACAGCACAGAAACACAGTGCGCTGCAGAGAATGTGTCTTTCAGAACTTAGTTCATCTGCAGAGGTATTTAAACGGAACCGCCATGTTCCCTCCCACACACACAGCTAGAGGATTTGAGTCGTCCTTTAGCAGTAGCAGCATGAGGCTCTGGGTAAACTGCCTCATGCAGCACTAATTTAGATGGCAGTTTTCAACCTGAATGTACATTGCACCACAAATCAAGGTACTGTCTGTGCTGGAAGACAAATGATGTCAAACATCTGTCGAAAAACACGTCTACAGGTTATAACAAGCCAAGCTTACAAACAAGCACAGGCACAGACACCCCAATTATCTTAGTTGTGGGAGCCTTATGGGTCTCAACTGAGTCCTTTCTGATAGCAAGGAAGTCCTTCAAGACACCAGCCAAGACATCATCCAGGCAAGGCGAGTGGGAGGCTTAGAGAAGGAAGGGCCAAACAGGAAGGGTCAGAAAGTGACCTTTATTGAGTTCCGGGGAACATATACTGTGCCAGGTAATTTATATGTGTCATTCTCTCTCTATCTCTCTCACATATATATGTTATCCATATATGTTATTCTGTGTGTTATCCATATAGGAGTTAACCAACTTGCCAAAATTAAGGTGGGCAGAACCAGAAAAAGATTCAGACTCAAGTTCTCCCTGATTCTATAACTTGTTCTCACCCTACTTTACTCCAATTTCAAACCAATTTCAAGCCAGAAAGGCTTGCTATGTTTTCATTCCTTCACTGGAAGAAAATAGCTTGTGTACCTAACATGTGCCAAGCACTATTCCAGGAACTGGGAAGCCAACAGAACATAAAATGTACCTCGTTCTTACCTTCGTGGGGGAGATGGAAAACAAAACAAACGAATATCAATGGGCAATAGATCTCGTGGTGGTGACTGCCATGAAAAAAAAAAAAAAAGCAATGTCTAGTGCATAGAGGGTGATAAGGCTTATTATTTTCAGTAAGGTAGTCACGGAAGGTCCCTGGTTGATGGAGTAGCCTCAGCAGACTGTGAGAGGATTCATGGCTATATATGAGCCATACTCATATGGGCATAAGAACATTTTATGAGACAGGCGCAGTGGCTCACGCCTGTAATCCCAGCACTTTGGGAGGCCAAGGCGTGCAGATCACCTGAGGTCAGGAGTTCCAGAGCAGCCTGGCCAACGTGGTAAAACTCTGTCTCTACTAAAAATGCAAAAATTATCCAGGTGTGGCAGCGGGCACCTGTAATCCCAGCTACCCAGGAGGCTTAGGCAGAACTGCTGGAACCCAGGAGGCAGAGGCTGCAGCGAGCTGAGATCGCACCACAACACACCAGCCTGGGTGACAGAGCAAGAATCCATGTCAAAAAAAAAAAAAAAAAAAAAAAAGAACATTTTAAAGCGGCAGCACATGCAAAGACCCTAAGATGCAGTGTATCTCAAATGTTTGAGTTTCTCGAAAGAGCAAAGTGGCTGTGGAATCTGAAGTATAGTGAAAGAGGGAGAAATAGTAAAAATGAGAACAATGAACCATCTGAAGATCAAATAAACTAAGGCCTTATACACCATGTTAAGGGATTTGGAAATTACTTTGCGTGTAATGGGAGGCTGCTGGTTTTAAGCATAGACATGATATAGTATGACTTCCGTGTACTGTTGCTATGTAGACAATAAATTGTGGAAGATCAATGATGGAAACAGAGATACCAATTAAGAGACATCTGCAATAATCTAGGTAAGATTGTGGTAGAAGGGACCAGGGTTGTTGCAGTGAAGGCAATAAGAAGTGCTTAAATCCAGGATATAGTTAAAGATAGAGTATGAAGAATTTATGAACAGATTGTATATGTGGTGTAAGAAGAAGAGAAGAGTTAAGATGACTTCAATTTTTCTGTTTGGGCAACTAGAAGAAAAATATCCCCATCACTAGAAGGAGAACACTGAAAGAGTAACAGTCCTGTCATGGGGGCATGGGGACTAATCAAGAGCTCAGTTACGTTTGAGATGACTGTTATACTTCTGAATCATGTTGGACATAATAGACTAGAGTTTGGACTGGGGATACAACAGATCTGAACACAGACAAATTCAGTTACATGCCCTTTTCATCTGTCTCTAGCCTTCTTTTTCTTCTCAATACGTCTTATATCAGGACTACTGACTTTTATACATCTCTAATTATATTAGGTTCCTTTGAGGGCTGTGAAAGAAATGTGACACTTGTTTTTTTTTTTTGTTTAAGAAAGAACCTTTCTTAAAAATCAAGTGAAGTAGCTCCTTGCTGCATCTACTGCGAGAATAAAGACATTCTCAGCAGACTGTCGACATTCCAGAAAATGTCAACATCACTCTGAAGGGACAAACAAATATTGTGAAGCGCCCCAGAGAGACCCTGCAGAGGAACTTCAACCACATCAGTGTAGATCTCAGTCTCCTTGGAAAGACAAAGAAGAGGCTCTGGGTTGGCAAACAGTGGGGAAATACAAAGGAACTGACTATTGTTTGAACTCTTTGTAGTCATTAATAGAACATGAGCAAGGGGGTTGCACTGGGCTTCCACTGCAACATGAGGTCCATGTGTGCTCACTTCTCCATCAATGTCATTACCCATTACAAAGGGGATCTGGTTGAATTAGAAATTTATTGGGTGAAAAATACATCTGCAGAGGCCAGGTGCTGCTTGTTCAGTATCTCAATCCCAGAAAGATGAGTTAATCCTTGAAGTAAATGACATTGGACTTGTTTCAAATTCAGCTACTTTGATTGAGAAAGCTGTAACAGTTAAAAACAAGAATATCAGAAACTTTTTGGATACTATCTATGTCTCTGAAAAAGGAATAGTTCAGCAGTCTGATGAATAAGACCTAAGAGTTGTCCAGCTTCAGAAACAAGATGCCAGGTGATTTCTAAGACCTATTTGCAATATTTTAATGATGGAAAAAAAAAAAAACACTCTATTGATTTAAGATGTTTTCTTAAAAAAAAAAACTCAAGCAAAGTGAAGATTATTTTTCAATCATACAAAAAGATATAGAAATACCAAACACACTAATTTCATCAAAGAGATTAGAATGACATTGTGTTAATTAGAGGAGATATAAAAAGTGCTATGAAGAAAAAAGAGTGGGGTTTCTGTAAGAAAAGAGAAATACTGCTACAGAAGATGGATAACAGTTCACATTGAACACTGCCTCAAAATTCACTCAGCCTGAAAGATGTCCAGTAGTTTGACATGCTTTGCAGTGCTATTATGATATTACACTTCTGCTAAAAGAGTCGAACATTCTATCAATGGCTTTAAGTGGCACAAAAAGTAATGGTAACCAAATTTGATACCTCTCTAAAGGGAAGAAAAGTGGCTTTTCCAAGCCCTGAAGAAATGATAGATACACAAGGAAATCTGGGGGTATGATTTGGTTACGTGCTCAGACATATCTGAGGCATCAGAGTTAGGGACAAGCAAGGCCTTATTTGAGCAAGGGAGGAGGGAAGAAAGAGGGGTGGGAAAAGTGAGAGAGAGAGGTTGAGAATGATAATTTGTGTTATGGGTAATTTTTAAAAAATAGGAAAGAAGGAAGAAAAGAAGGAGATAGAAAACATATTCCAAGATGAAGAGTTTCTAGGAATTGTTGTTTAACCTGGAGAAGGAAAAGCATGGGAATATATTTAAGAGATGGACTTCCATACAGAAGAAAGTTGAGACTTCTTTATAGCTTCAGAGGGTAGAAATCACAATTTGGCTAAGTCCGGACTAAAGGCAACTTTGTGCCTTAGGTATGTCATCTGTAAAATGGAAATAATAAAAGCATTTCCTTCAAAACAGTATGAGGATTAGCTAAAATAAATTTGATGAAATAAGTGAATGGATAAGGCTGGGAAAATTAGCCCTAGGCTGGATCCTAGCATGGAGAAAGCATAGAAGGCTGTCCTACTTGTTCCAGGGTCACGCTGGTACTGAAGGTGGTCAATCTGCTAGTTAAAACATGTAGCATAGCAAAAGTGGATACTTCCAACGGATTTGTCCATTCAGAACAGGATCCAAGTCAACAGCTAAGAAGTATATGGGAGGGTAGATATGGGAAACAACATTCAATCTGGAGAAGATTAAAGAACAAACTCAGAGAGGTGTCAGGATCTTATCTCAGTAAACTAGAGTTGAGATTGGGCTCTAGTCCCAGCTACAGAAACCAAACTGGAAACCTAGCCACTTTAGTCCAACAGAGAGTAGTAGTCAGGGCAAACTTACTTGCCATATTGGCTTCCAGAAACTTTTCAGATTTTATCTTCATATGATACTTAGTCTCCTTGGGTTCTTGCAGCCCTGACTAAATTGACAACTGGATCCAGGTAACAGTAGATACATAGCAAAGGCTACATGTGATTAGGACTGAACTGGGAGGGAGACATTGGGGAGATCTGCCTCATTGCTGGGAATTTATTTATTTTTTAACAATAAGAATGAACAGAGAAAATTGCTGGGGAGGTACTGAGCACCCTTTACCTGGAAATTTGAAACAGATATTGAAAGGCCACCTACTGGCAAGGCAATTGTGAACATTCATCTATCGTGAAGGGATCTAGTAGACTTATAACAACATTCCTCCTAACTGTATACAGTGGTTTGAATGACAGACACAAAAAATGTCAGTTCTTCTTCCCTGGAACATGTGGCTGTTGTGTTACCTTATCTAGTAATTTTTTTTTTGTAGCTGTAAATAATTAAGCTAAAAGATCATGAGATGAGGAGATTATCCTGGATTTTCTGAGTTGGTCTTAAATTTTATCATGTGTATTCCTTTAAAAAGAAGGTAGAGAGCTGGGAACAGTGGCTCACACTTGTAATTCCAGGACTTTGGGAGGCTGAGGTGGGCAGATCACCTGAGGTCAGGAGTTCGAAACCAGCCTGGCCAACATGGGGAAACCACATCTCTAGTAAAAATACAAAAATTAGCAAGGTGTGGTGGTAGGCACCTATAATCCCAGCTACTCAGGAGGCTGAGGCAGGAGAAGCCCTTGAACCCGGGAGGCAGAAGTTGCAGTGAACCGAGATCATACCACTGCACTCCAGCCTGGGCGACAAAGTGAGACTCTGTCTCTAAATAAATAAATAAAAGGCAGAGGAATCTTACAGACAGAAGAAGAGAGAAAGAGAGAGAGAAGTGTAATGTAAAGATGAAGTACAGAGATGCAGCCACAAGTCAGAAAATGCCAATAGTCATCAGAACCTGGAAGAAGCAAAAACTATATTCTCTTCTAGAGCCTCCAAAGGGAGTGCATCCCTGACTATCCCATGATTTTGGATTTCTGGCCTCAAGAACAGTGAGGAAATACATTTCTGTTGTTTTAAGCTACCTAGTTTGTGGTTATTTGTCACAGCAACCACAGGAAACTAATAAACTCAGAGTCCAGAATTCCAAAGGACACTATAGGTATGGATTATCTAACTGAAGATGGAGTTACAGCAATCAAATCCCACTCACTCTTTCCTATTTTCTGCATTTCCTTATATATATTATCTTAATTAAAATTGTCCTTTAGTCTAATTGCCAGTAGATGTTACAAAAGGAAATAAATTTAACAGAATGGAAAACCCAAGGAGTTGGTAATTATGTAATCAGGGAGATTGCAGGAGGTAGTTAAACCACATTGCTGTCTCAATTTCCTCTCCAAATATATGGTGCCTATGGAAAGAAAGTTATCCTTAGGCAACTATTCATCAGACTCCTACAATTATTTAAGTAAGTCAGTCAAGGCTCTAAAACATTGCAGAATTATAAATTAAATATCCCAAAAAGAAACTGGAAGGACAGGACAGGTTCAGGTACCTCAAACATGTATTAATGTATTCACTCTTGCAATAAATATTATTGAGCTCCCTATTATCTGAGAGACAAATTTTGGTATAAAGAATATAACTATAAAAACATAGAAAGTTTCTTGCTTCATGAAACATTATACTATGCTGTGGGGGAAAGGTAAAATATGTGTAAATTTAGAAGTAAATAAGATAATATAAGACAGTATAAAGTGATACAGAAAATACAACAGGCTATGGGACAGAGAATGTCTGCTATAGGGTACAGTGGGTGGTTGGGTGGTGGGAGAAATATTTGAGTTGAGACCTAAACAATTAGAAAAATTTAGCCACATGTTGATCAAATGATAAAAGTTATAGGTAGTAAGAGTAGTAGATCCGTAATTGGAAAAACAACAGGAACCTCTAAATGGTTTTTACCAAGATGAGGCATGGTCACATGTGAATATTTAAATAATGACTCTAGCTACAGGGACATAATAAGGGGAAGGAGGAAGAATAATGACTAGAGAGCCAAATGAAGCATCATGGGGACTTGGACTCTGGAGGTGATGGGAGAAGAGAACTTCATTGCTCAATTCTCCCCGCATCTATTTTCTCAGTTATTCCTCACCCATCCCTGGGAGGGTATAGACAACATTTAGATACAGACCCATCACCAATTCCACTATTACTTTATGAAGAAGAAAAGACGCTGGGTAAATGGATTCAAGTGGCAATGGAATTAACTGCTGCCATTAAGTACCATTGTGCTGACTGTCTTGGAATTTTAAATTCTGTGTTTTATACTCTGCTAGACTGCACTGGTGGTCTTCTAAATATTGTGTATGTGCTTTCAAATAGACTTGAAATTGTTATTACAATTGTTTTTATTTGTTAGAGACCAGAAAATATTTGGATATGCGATGCCTGTGGTGTCATCTTTGGAGCCAGGTCCCAACAAATATTCACTAAACTTTTCAAAATCCACAAAAAAGTTATCAGAAGCTACTGAGTTTTTACAGCTTGTATTCAAAGTTAACAGATAAGCAGTTGGTAAGAGAAATCTCTGTTGAAAAATGCAAAATAGTACAAGAATCAGAATGTCTGAACTTGGGCTTACCCCTACCTAACTGTATGGACTTTAAAATGGCATTAAAGCTTTCTAATTGTCCATTTCCTCATCTCTAAAAGGAAAATAATGGGCTAACACCTCTAAAGTTATCTCTACCTCTAAAATTTTATGAAAATATTATTCATTTTTAACAAACTCAGAGCTTCTCTTTTCCCTTTTTAATGCACATTCTGTATCTCACCTATTCATGCCGTTTTTCTATTTTCATTATAAGGGACTATTACTTTTTGAACGGCTTCACTGAAATGAACAAATAGAGTCAATTCAAATCACAAAGTTAGCTTCTTTAACATTTTCCTCTCTACAGTAAATCGAATGTATGGTTTCTATGTACTAGTCACATTTCCCTCTTCATACTTAGAAACACTTTTCTGTTTTGTGGCTTTTCAAGCATTTTAAAAACCACTGATTCAAAATGGGACTGTCTGGCTTGTCTTATATTTCCAAGAATATACAGTTATTCTAGAAGGCTTTGATTTCTGGAGAATATTTACAGTAAAGATATAAAGACTGATGTCTCTTATAAAGATTTATTTCAGATTACTTTCCACTTGGGAATAATAGTATAATTCTCTTAGAAAAATATTCCATCCTTTAATATAATTTTGCTCTTTTTTTCCCTTGCTCTAAAGATAGTGAATTAATTGCTATGCATATTAAAGAATAATGGTAGAATACTGAAGTCAAAGTAAAAGCACATAATCTTATTTTATTACCTACCCCATTTGTGTATTTGGGCAGGTCTTTCACATTTTGAAGACTTGGTTTATTTGCCTGTCAACTGGAAAGAATGGAAAAAATAGTAATAACAGACTTTTTTTTTTTAGTTCTTATTACAATATAGGTATTGTGCCAAGCACATTACATATACCATTCCATTTACTCTTCATAATACTGCTATATAGATATCGTCTTTTAAAAGTTGAAGCATCTGAAATTTAGAGAAGATAAGCTCAAGGTCATATAGCTAGTAAGGGACAGAGCAGAGATTCTGAAACTTTACATGGCTGTTAGACTGAGAAACCCATATTTTAATGTCTCTATACTATAAAAATACTGATTTCTATCCTCCTGGAGTAGAAACACCATGCTAATGTATAAGAAATTGCTTTATGGTGGGTGTGGTGGCTTACTCCTGTAATCCCAGGACTTTGGGAGGCTGAACGGGAGGATCATTTGAGCTCAAGACTTTGAGATCAACATGAGCAGCATAGTGAAACCCTGCCTCTATAAATAAGAAAAAAAAAATGCCAGGAGCAGTGGTGCATGTCTGTGGTCCCAGCTACATGCGAGGCTGAGCTGGGAGGATCACTTGAGCCTAGAAGGTCAAGGATGCAGTGAGGCATGATTGTGCTGCTGCACTCCAGCCTGGGCAACAAAGCAAGATCGCATCTTGAAAAAAAAAGAAAGAAAAATTGCTTTAAAAACTACTATGCTATATTCAGGTATGAAGGATGGAAATGAAAAAGATAATAAAAATGGTGATACTGTTGAGAATGTCAAGCTCAGAATTAACTTTAGAGGAAAAAATAGTAAATTTACAGAATTTAGGAAGCTCATCAATTTATAGTAATACGTGCTGCCCCCATCTGGTGTGCTATATAGCTGCCCTATCTCTTTGCTCCTCTCCCCTTACCTTAATTAAAATATTCCCATCTTAATACCTGCTTGCTAGTCTGTTCCAAGATGGACAAATAGGAACAGCTCTGGTCTGCAGCTCTCAGTGTGATTAATGCAGAAGACAGCTGATTTCTGCAACTGAGGTACCTGGTTCATCTCATTGTGACTGGTTGGACAGTGGGTGCAGCCCATAGAGGGCAAGCTGAAGCAGGGCAGGGTGTTGCCTCAACCGGGAAGCACACAGGGTCAGGGGATTTCCCTTTCCTAGCCAAGGGAAGCTGTGCCAGGCTGTACCAGGAAAAATGGGATACTCCCACCCAAATACTGCACTTTTCCCATGGTCTTAGCAACCAGCAGACCAGGAGATTCTCTCCCATGCCTGGGTCAGTGGGTCCCACATGCACGGAGCCTACCTCACTGCTAGCGCAGCAGTCTGACATCAACCTGAGAGGTTGCAGCCTGGTGGGGGGAGGGGTATCCACCATTGCTGAGGCTTGAGTAGGTAAACAAAGCAGCCAGGAAGCTTGAACTGGGCAGAGCCAACCACAGCACAGCAAGGCCTACTGCCTCTATAGACTCCACCTCTGTGGTAGGGCATAGCTGAACAAAAGGCAGCAGAAACTCCTGCAAAGTTAAAAGTCTCTGTTTGACAGCTCTGAAGAGAGCAGTAGCTCCATTTGAGCCCTGAGAACTGACAGACTGCCTCCTCAAGTGGGTCCCTGACCCACATGTAGCCTAACTGGGAGACACCTCCCAGTAAGGGCCAACAGACACCTCATACAGGAAAGCGCCCCTCTGGGACAAAGCTTCCCTAGGACGGATCAGGCAGCAATATTTGCTGTTCTGCAATATTTGTTGTTTTGCAGCCTCCACTGGTGATACCCAGGCAAACGAGGTCTGGAGTGGACCTCCAGCAAACTCCAATAGACCTGCAGCTTAGGGACCTGGCTGTTAGAAGCAAAACTAACAAACAGAAAGGAATAGCACCAACATGAAAAAAAGGACACCTACACCAAAACCCCATCTGTAGGTCACCAACCTCAAAGACCAAAGGTAGATAAAACCACAAAGATGGGGAGATACCAGAGCAGAAAAGCTGAAAATTCTAAACACCAGAGTGCCTCTTCTCCTGCAAAGGATCACAGCTCCTCACCAGCAATAGAACAAAGCTGGATGGAGAATAACTTTGACGAGTTGACAGAAGTAGGCTTCAGAAGGTCGGTAATAACAAACTTTTCTGAGGTAAAGGAGCATCTTCTAACCCATCACAAGGAAGGTAAAAACCTTGAAAAAAGGTTAGATCAATGGCTAACTAGAATAAACAGTGTAGAGAAGACGTTAAATGACCTGATGGAGCTGAAAACCATGGCACAAGAATTTCGTGATGCATGCACAAGCTTCAATAAACAATTCGATCAAGTGGAAGAAAGGATATCAGTGATTGAATATAAAATTAATGAAATAAAGTGAGAACACAAGGTTAGAGAAAAAAGAGTGAAAAGAAATGAACAAAGCCTCCAAGAAATATGGGACTATGTGAAAAGACCAAATCTACATTTGATTGGTGTACCTGAAAGTGACAGGGAAAATGGAACCAAGTTGGAAAACACTCTTCAGGATATTATCCAGGAGAACTTCCCCAACCTAGCAAGGCAGGCCAATATTCAAATTCAGGAAATACAGAGAACACCACAAAGATAATGCTCGAGAAGAGTAACCCCAAGACACATAATTGTCAGATTCACCAAGGTTGGAACGAAGGAAAAAAATGTTAAGGGCAGCCAGAGAGAAAGGTTGGGTTACCCACAAAGGGAAACCCATCAGACTAACAGTAGATCTCTCAGCAGAAACCCTACAAGCCAAAAGAGAGTGGGGGCCAATATTCAACATTCTTAAAGGAAAGAATTTTCAACTCAGAATTTCATATCCAGCCAAACTAAGCTTCATAAGTGAAGGAGAAATAAAATCCTTTACAGACAAGCAAATGCTGAGAGATTTTGTCATCACCAGGCCTGCCTTATAAGAGCTCCTGAAGGAAGCACTAAATATGGAAAGGAATAACCGGTACCAGCCACTGCAAAAACATGCCAAATTTTAAAGACCATTGATGCTATGAAGAAACTGCATCAATTAACGAGCAAAATAACCAGCTAACATTGTAATGACAGGATGAAATTCAGACATAACAATATTAACCTTAAAGGTAAAGGGGATAAATGCCCAAATTAAAAGATATAGACTGGCAAATTGGATAGAGGCAAATTGGATAGAGACATTTCAAGCAGTGTGTATAGGGAAAGACCCATCAATGTGCTGTATTCAGGAGACCCATCTCATGTGCAGAGACATATATAGGCTCAAAATAAAAGGATGGAGGAAGATTTACCAAGCAAATGGAAAGCAAACAAACAAACAAACAAAAAAAGCAGGGGCTGCAATCCTAGTCTCTGATAAAACAGACTTTAAACCACCAAAGATCAAAAGAGACAAAGAAGGTCATTACATAATGGTAAAGGGATCAATTCCACAAGAAGATCTAACTATTCTAAATATATATGAACCCAATACAGGAGCACCCAGATTCATAAAGGAAGTCCTGAGAGACCTACAAAGAGACTTAGACTCTCATACAATAAAAATGGGAGACTTTAACACCCCACTGTCAATATTATACAGATTAATGAGACAGAAGGTTAACAAAGATATCCAGGACTTGAACTCAGCTCTGCACCAAGCAGACCTAATAGACATCTACAGAACTCTCCACCCCAAATCAACAGAATATACATTTTTCTCAGCACCATATCACACTTATTCTAAAATTGACCACATAATGGGAAGTAAAGCACTCCTCAGCAAATGGAAAAGGACAGAAATCACAACAAACTGTCTCTCAGACCACAGTGCAATCAAATTAGAACTCAGGGTTAAGAAACTCCCTCAAAACCACACAACTACCTGGAAACAGAACAACCTGCTCCTGAATGACTACTGGGTAAATAACAAAATGAAGGCAGAAATAAAGATGTTCTTTGAAAGCAATGAGAACAAAGACATGATGTACCAGAATCTCTGGGACACATTTAAAGCAGTGTGTAGAGGGAAATTTATAGCACTAAATACCCACAAGAGAAAGCAGAAAAGATCTAAAATTGACATCCTAACATCACAATTAAAAGAACTAGAGAAGCAAGAGCAAACACGTTCAAAAGCTAGCAGAAGGCAAGAAATAACTTGATCAGAGCAGAACTGAAGGAGATACAAACACAAAGATCCCTTCAAAAAATCAATGAATCTAGAAGCTGGTTTTATGGAAAGATTAACAAAATTGATAGACCTCTATCAAGACTAATAATGACAAGAAAGAAGAATAAAATAGACGCAATAAAAAATGATAAAGGGGATATCACCACCGATCCCACAGAAATACAAACTACCATCAGAGAATACTATAAACACCTCTATGCAAATAAACTAGAAAATCTAGAAGAAATGGATAAATACCTCAACACATACACCCTCCCAAGACTAAATCAGGAAGAAGACTGAATCTCTGAATAGACCAATAACAGGCTCCGAAATTGAGGCAATAATTAATAGCCTACCAACAAAAAAAGTCCGGGACCAGGTGGATTCACAGCTGAATTCTACCAGAGGTACAAAGAGGAGCTGGTTGCATTCCTTCCGAAATTATTCCAATCAATAGAAAAAGAGGGAATCCCCCCTAACTCATTTTATGAGGCCAGCATAAAATGAGTTATCATCCTGATACCAAAGCCTGGCAGAGACACAACAAAACAAGAGAATTTTAGACCAATATCCCTGATGAACATTGATGTGAAAATCCTCAATAAAATGCTGGCAAAACAAATCCAGCACCACATCAAAAAGCTTATCTACCACAATCAAGTCAGCTTCACCCCTGGGATGCAAGGCTGGTTCGACATACACAAATTACTAAATGTAACCCATCACATAAACAGAACCATGGACAAAAAACATATGATTATTTCAATAGATGCAGAAAAGGCCTTCAACAAAATTCAACAGCCCTTCATGCTAAAAAGTCTCAATAAACTGAGTATTGTTGGAACGTATCTCAAAATAATAAGAGCTATTTATGACAAACTCACAGCCAAGATCATACTGAATGGGCAAAAACTGGAAGCATTCCCTTGGAAAACTGGCAGAAGACAAGGATGCCCTCTCTCACCACTCCTATTCAAGAAAGTGTTTGAAGTTCTGGCTTGGGCAATCAGGCAAGAGGAAGAAATAAAAGATATTTAATTAGGAAAAGAGGAAGTCAAATTGTCCCTCTTTGCAGATGACATGATTGTATATTTAGGAAACCTCATCATCTCAGCCCAAAATCTCCCTAAGCTGATAAGCAACTTCACCAAAGTCTCAGGATACAAAAACATTGTGCAAAAATCACAAGCATCCCCATACACCAATAACAGACAATCAGAGGGCCAAATCATGAGTGAACTACCATTCACGATTGCTACAAAGAGAATAAAATACCTAGGAATCCAACTTACAAAGGATATGAAGGTCCTTTTCAAGGAGAACTACAAACCACTGCTCAACAAAATAAAAGAGGACACAAACAAATGGAAGAACATTCCATGCTCATAGACAGGAAGAATCAATATTGTGGAAATGGCCATACTGCCCAAGGTAATTTACAGATTCAATGCCATCCCCATCAAGCTACCAATGACTTTCTTCACAGAATTGGAAAAAAACTATTTCAAACTTCATATGGCACCAAAAAAGAGCCTGCATTGTCAAGACAATCCTAAGCAAAAAGAACAAAGCTGGAGGCATCACGTTACATGACTTCAGACTATACTACAAGGCTACAGTAACCAAAACAGCATGGTACTGGTACCAAAACAGATATATAGACCAATGAAACAGAACAGAAGCCTCAGAAGTAACACCACACATCTATAACCATCTGATCTTTAACAAACTGAGAAAAACAAGAAATGGGGAAAGGATTCCTTATTTAATAAATGGTGCTGGGAAAACTGGCTAGGCATATGTAGAAAGCCGAAACTGGATCCCTTCCTTACACCTTATACAAAAATTAACTTAGGATGGATTAAAGACTTAAATGTTAGACCTAAAACCAGAAAAACCCTGGAAGAAAACCTAGGCAGTACCATTCAGGATATAGGTGTGGGCAAGGACTTCATGACTAAAACACAAAAAGCAATGGCAACAAAAGCCAAAATAGACAAATGGGATCTAATTAAACTACAGAGCTTCTGCAGGGCAAAAGAAACTACCATCAGAGTGAACAGGCAGCCTATAGAATGGGAGAAAATCTTTGTAATCTAACCATCTGACAAAGGGCTAATATCCAGAATCTACAAAGAACTTAAACAAATTTACAAGAAAAAACAAACAACCCCATCAAAAAGTGAGCAAAGGATATGAACAGACACTTCTCAAAAAAAGACATTTATGCCATCAACAGACAAATGAAAAAAATGCTCATTATCACTGGTCATCAGAGAAATGCAAATCAAAACCACAATGAGATACCATCTCACACCAGTTAGAATGGCGATAATTAAAAAGTCAGGAAACAACAGATGCTGGAGAGGATGTGGAGAAACAAGAATGCTTTTACACTGTTGGTGGGAGTGTAAATTAGTTCAACAATTGTTGAAGACAGTGTGGTGATTCCTCAAGGATCTAGAACTAGAAGTACCATTTGACCCAGAGATCCCATTACTGGATATATACCCAAAAGATTATAAATCATGCTACTATAAAGATACATGTACATATATGTTTATTGTGGCACTATTCACAATATCAAAGACTTGGAACCAACCCAAATGTCCATCAATGATAGACTGGATAAAGAAAATTTGGCTCATATACACCATGGAATACTATACAGCCATAAAAAGGATGAGTTCTGGTCCTTTGCAGGGACACGGATGAAGATGGTAACTGTCATTCTCAGCAAACTATCACAAGGACAGAAAACCAAACACTGCATGTTCTCACTCATAGGTGGGAATTGAACAATGAGAACATTTGGACACGGCGGGGAACATCACACACTGCGGCCTGTTAGAGGGAGGGATAGCATTAGGAGAACTACCTAGTGTAAATGTCGAGTTGATGGATGCAGCAAACCAACATGGCACATGTATACCTATGTAATAAACCTGCATGTTGTGCACATGTATCCAAGAACTTAAAGTATAATAAAAAAAAAAAGAAGAAAGAAAAAGCAAAGACCTGCTTGCTCCAGAAGTGAACAATAATAAATTATGTTAAGATAGTGCTTAATGCCTGATGATGTGTTAATGTGTTTACTTGGGCATGTTAGTTGACTCTTTAATAAGCAAATAGAAGAAATTATTGTAAAGATAGAGTGAGGACCTTCTAAAAAAGTCATGGAGTAAATTCTACTGGGAAACTCAAAATGTTTCAGTAACAGGAATTGTTCTTCAATCTCTTTCAGGCATTGACAACAGAGTTTACACACTCTAACTATAAATTCTATTCTTGCCTTGTTCAACTTAACATCAGAGTCTTGGAAGAGAAGAGTCAACTGATAAAACTAAGGTTACTGCCCAACCTCTTGAAAGCACTGATTGAAGAAAACACCTATGGGGTAGAAGAAGCCTCCGTGATATCTGTTGACTTTTGTAATGGTACCATGAAGTATCTTGATTCATCAAAAAGTAAAGATAAAATTTTCTTAAAGTTAAACTGGTTTCAGCATATAAAATTAAATGCAGGCCAACCAAAATTCACAAATGCTCATTAAATGTATTGTTACTACTCATTTGGTCTTTAAATTAAAATTATAGTTGTAGAAACATAATGCTTTGTCATAATATAGGACTCAAAGTGTGACAGTAGAAACTAGATAAGTCACTCATTTCCTAATAACTTCCTTGTAGGGGTTTTTGACCAGGGTCTCCAAAGCCTAGACAAAAAATGCACGAGATGTATATGTTATTGAACCCACAATTATATCCAAATATTTCAGTGTGTGTTCACATGTGAAAATTTTGTTCTCATCATAGTTCATGTGATTTACTAGATGTCCAAAAGAATCTGACATAATCCACCTCTGAAAGTATAAAATTGTATGTATTACAAAAAATATTCAATTAATGATGATTTCTTCCCTCAAGATGTTCATGGTTTCAGTCTCTTCAAGGAAATAGCCACATATAGGAAAACTTCCATAAAGTATAAGAAAATAGATTTTAAAACTCAATTATATAGAAGAAAAGCTTTCTACTTGTGAATGGAAAAATGTAACTTATATTAAACCAGTATCCTTATCTATAGCAATAAAATAATTGAACAAAATATGAAAATCATCTGTCTGAATACAGTGAACAGACAACAACATGAACAAGAAGGACTCATTGGAGAAGGGCCATCAGAGATAAACTTATCCCCCTGAAATTGCTTTTACCCAGGAGACATTTAATAATTTCGGCTATAGGAAGAGGGCCAAAAAATATAGGAGTTAGAACTCAAAAGGCCTTTGCTGATAGGGACAGAAATGGTAGAGCTTTGGCAGACATTAGAGACCTGATTTCCATGGTTAATTATCTTCTCAGTATATTTGCTGAAGTCTAGTTTTGTTTGAAGAGCAGGGGACTGATATGATTTGGCTGTATCCCCACCCAAATCTCATTTTGAATTGTACTCCCATGATTCCCCTGTGTTGTGGGAGGGACCCAGTGGGAGATCATTTGAATCATGGAATAGGTTTTCCCCATACTCTTCTCATGGTAGTGAATAAGTCTCATGAGATCTGATGGGTTTATCAGAGGTTTCCGCTTTTGCATCTTCCTCATTTTTCTCTTGCCACTGCCATGTAAGAAGTGCCTTTCATCTCCCACCATGATTCTAAGGCCTCCCCGGCCATGTGGAACTGTAAGTTCAATTAAACCTCCTTTTCTTCCCAGTGTCAGGTATGTCTTTATCAGCAGCATGAAAATGGACTAATACAGTAAATTGGTACTGGGAGTGGGATGTTGCTGAAAAGATACCTGAAAATGTGAAGCAACTTTGGAACTGGGTAACAGGCAGAGGTTGGAATAGTTTGGAGGGCTCAGAAGTAGACAGGAAAATGTGGGAAAGTTTGGAACCTCCTAGAGATTTGTTGAATGGATTTGACAAAAATGCTGATAGTGACACAAACAATAAGGTCCAGGCTGAGATGGTCTCAGATAGAGATGAGGAACTTGTTGGAAACTGGAGCAAAGGCAACTCTTATTATGTTTTAGCAAAGAGACTTGTGGCATTTTGCCCCTGCCATAGAGATTTATGGAACTTTGAACTTGAGGGAGATGATTTAGGGTAAAGAGACTGGTGGCATTTTGCCCCTGTCCTAGAGATTTGTGGAACTTTGAACTTGAGAGAGATGATGTAGGATATCTGGAGGAAGAAATTTCTAAGCAGAAAAGCATTCAAGAGATGACTTGGGTGCTGTTAAAAGCATTCCATTTTAAAAGAGAAACAGAGCATAAAAGTTGGGAAAATTTGCTGCCTGACCATTCAGTAGAAAAGAAAACCCATTTTTTGAGGAGAAATTCAAGCTAGCTGTAGAAATTTGCATAAGTAATGAGGAGTCAAATGTTAATCCCCAAGACAATAGGGAAAATGTCTCTAGGGCATGTCAGAGGTTTTCAGGGCAGCCCCTCCCATCACAGGCCTGGAGGCCCAGGAGAAAATAATTTCATGGGCTGGGCCAAGGGTCCCTGTGGTGTGTGCAGCCTAGGGACTTGGTGCCCTGTATCCCAGTTTCTCCAGCCATGACTAAAAGGGGCCAAGGTACAGATCAACCTGTGACTTCAGAAGGTGAAAGCCCCAAGCCTTGGCAGCTTCCTTGAGGTGTTGAGCCTGAAGTTGCACAGAAGTCAAGAATTGGAGTTTGGGAACCTCCACCTAGATTTCAGAAGATGTATGGAAATGCCTGGATGCCCAGGCAAAAGTTTGCTGCAGGGGTGGGGCCCTCATGAAGAATCTCTGCTAAGGCAGTGCAGAAGAGAAATGTGGGGTAGGAACAGCCACACTGAGTCCCTACTAGGGCATTGCCTCATGGAGCTGTGAGAAGAGGCCCACTGTTCTGCAGACCCCAGAATGATAGATCCAATGACAGCTTGCACTGTGCATCTGGAAAAGCTGCAGACACTCAATGCCAGCCTGTGAAAGCAGCCAGGATTGAGGGGCTATCTATACCCTGCCAAGCCACAGGGGCTGAGCTGATGAAGACCATGGGAACCCACCTCTTGCATCAGCATGACCTGGATGTGAGACCTGGAGTCAAAGGAAATCATTTTGGAGCTTGAAGATTTAACTGCCCCACTGGATTTCAGACTTGCATGGGCCCTATAACCCCTTTGTTTTGGCCAATTTCTCCCATTTGGAATGGCTGTATTTACCAAATACCCGTACCCCCATTGTATCTGGGAAGTAACTAGCTTAGTTTTGATTTTACAGGCTCATAGGCAGAAGGGACTTGACTTGTCTCAGATGAGACTTTGGACTGTGGGCTTTTGGGTT
This sequence comes from Homo sapiens, assembly GCF_000001405.40. Taxonomy (NCBI): domain Eukaryota; kingdom Metazoa; phylum Chordata; class Mammalia; order Primates; family Hominidae; genus Homo; species Homo sapiens. Next base: position 41,554,239 of record NC_000011.10, read on the forward strand.
AATGCTGAAATGAGTTAAGACTCTGGGGGAATGTTGGGAAGGCATGATTTGTTTTGAAATGTGAGGACATGAGATTTGCAGGGGCCAGGGGTGAAATAATATGGTTTGGTTGTGTCCCTACCTAAATCTTATCTTGAATTGTACTCCCATAATTCCTACATGTTGTGGGAGGAACCAGTGGGAGATAATTTAATCCTCCACTGGGTTCCTCCCACTGGATAATTTAATCCAGTGGGAGGTTTCCCTCATACTGTTCTTGTGGTATTGAATAAGTCTTACAAGATCTGATGTTTTCATGGGGATTTCCACTTTTGCATCTTTCTCATTTTTCTCCTGCTGCCACCATGTAAGAAGTGGCTTTCACCTCCAGCTATGATTCTGAGTCCTCCCCAACCATGTGAAACTGTAAGTCCACTTAAACCTCTTTTTCTTCCCAGTCTCAGGTATGTCTTTATCAGCAGCATGAAAACAGACTAATACAGGGATCACAACTTAAACAAAACTCAGCTGAAAAGCAGAACAGAAAGATTGGCTTGTTGGCCAGGCGTGGTGGCTCACGCCTGTAATCCCAGCACTTTGGGAGGCTGAGGCGGGTGGATCACAAGGTCAGGAGATTGAGACCATCCTGTGAATAGCGAAATCCTGTCTCTACTAAAAATACAAAAAAAAATTAGCTGGGCGTGGTGGCGGGTGCCTGCATTCCCAGCTGCTTGGGAGGCTGAGGCGGGAGAATGGTGTGAATCCGGGAGGCGGAGCTTGCAATGAGCCGAGATTGCACCACTACACTCCAGCCTGGGTCACAGAGCGAGAATCCATCTCAAAAAAAAAAAAAAAAAAAAAAGAAAGATTGGCTTGTCATGTGGCAAAAGACTGGACCCCACAGTACACAAAAGACTCTTAGTAAAAAATTTAGAAAGAAAAGAGCAAAACTAAAGAGGATTCAGTCTTACCAGGGCTTCAGTCTGGCTTTGACTCAGCACCACCCACAAATTGGTTACTATGATTATTCTTCACCCTGTCTGCCTAGTGCAGAAACGAGTGAATCCACTCTTAAGAAAGGTAAGATCATCAATAACCTTTACGTTTTTAAACTAGCATTTGGGATTCCATTTAAAAAAATATGACACACACCAATAGAAAAAAAAAAAGACTATAAAAGTAGACTTATAGGTGATCAAGATATTGGAGTTAACGGACAATGACTTTGAAATAATATGTTTAAATCAATCAAGAAAAAGATGAAGAAAATAGACAGCAATAAATAATTCCACAAGACAACTGGAATCCTTAAAAGATAATCAAATCAAAAATCTAGAACTGATGAATAATATCTAAAATTTTTAATTCATTGGACGCTTTAATACAAGGTTAGATTAATTAGTTCCAGAATAAGTAAATTGGAAGACATGTTTTATTATATAATCCAAACTGAAACTATACCGTAGAATAAGAATACAGACACATGGAACTCAAAGAATACCCCTACTATCTATGTAATTGGACTCCCGGGAGAAGGGTACAGTAAAATGGGTCAGAAGCACTATTTGAAGAGATAATGGCCAATAGTTTTCCAAAACTATGACATGTATCAATGTACAAGTTTAAGAATCTTTGAAAATTCCAACATGAATAAATACAAAGACAACAAACAAAAAACAAAAATGAAACAATACCAAACCATACGCTCATCATAAGAAGACCACTAAAAATCAAAGGCAAAGAGTAAATCTTAAAATCTTCCAGAAAAGAAAAAAAGTATTACCATCAAAGGAGCAAGTGTGAGACTGTGATTTGACTTTTCAGTAGAGATGATTAAAGCCTAAGAAAATGCATACAAAAAACCACCATTACACTTAATAACATGAATAAATATCAAAGGTATTTTCCTAAGAGGAGAAAAGCCAGAGGACAAAGACTATGTATTTTATGATTCCATTTACGTGAAATGCAAAAAAAAAAAAAGGCAATTAGATTGACAAAAAGCAGATCAGTCGTCACAAAGAATTAGAGGCAGGAAGGGAGGATTTATAACAACAAAAAAATAGGGGACTGATAGGAATCTTTTATAACATGAATGTGATGGTGGTTATATGATGGCTGACACTTGTCAAAATATGTCTCATTGCAAACCTACCACTGGTAAATTTTTATTGTATATAAATTATATCTCAATAAGGCTTATTAAGTATTAACTAGGTAAAATATTCGGTGCAACAATCACACAGAAATGGAGATGGGTTATAGATGAAGTTAAAAGTTACCAAAATTTTAATATTATCAACAGTGTTAAATGTAATCATTTGCATTGGATTATACTAAGTCAAGATAAATCAGGGATTCATGTTATAAGCCATATGGTTAACTACCTAAGTTATAGCAAATAATTTATATGTATTAAGTTGTAATCATTGAATGGAATAATAATTTTTGTATTCTAAAGTATGCAAGTATGATAAAGAACATAAAAACAGGTGGACAAATAAAAGAAAAATAGAATGATAGTAGATAAAACAGTCAGTTCAGGTTCTCTAAGAAGCAGCTGCCAAGAGAGAATTAAATGGCAAGAAATTTACCAGGAGAAACACACCTGAAAAAGAAACTAGGGTGGGGGAGAGCGGTTGGAGAATTTGAGAGCACCATCAGATCATGGGGCAAGTCTGATCTCTAGTGAAGAAGAGAAGAAAGGAAGTAAGAGAATCTGTGAGAAAGCATCTTAGACTGAAAATTTGTCAAAGTCATTGAGGCATGCTCAAGTCAAGTCACATGCCAGAGGAGTCCCACATCTCCCAGGAGTGAGCCTGACTTAACCACACTCTGTTGCTCCCTGGGAAAAGCTCATGGTAGGTTTTCCTCTATGCATATATGTTGACTTCAGAGCGCAAAAGCTTTGCCCCTGGTCAGTTACACTCCTTGTAGCTTACTACAAGGAGTACCTAGAGGCACATTCTCATGGCTACCATATAAATTCAACTAAAACAGGCAATAAATTAAATGTAAATTTATTAAGTGCTCCAATTTAAAGGCTAAGATTGTCAGACTTAATAAAAATTGGTGAGGACTGTGAAATGCAAATAATGAGTCTTTAAATATAAGTACATATAAAGATTGAATGCAACAATAAGGAAAAGTAGATACTATTCATAGTATAAAGCTGGTATAGCACTATTAAGCAAAATAGAAATAAAGCAAGAAACATTTTGAATTCTTAAGTACTTGAATAGAATAAATAAAATTGCCATCATTTCAAGATAACATGACCAAATAAGTAGAAATCCTGAAATAATCAACAGCCGCACAATTAGCATTAATTTTTGATTATAAGATTATTTGAGAACAGGTCTATTTAAAACACCGAATTTATCTTTTGATATGATTTAGCTGTGTCTCCACCCAATTCTCATCTTGAATTATAGTTCCCATAATCCTCACGTGTAGTAGGAGGAACCTGGTGGAAGGTAATTGAATCACGAGGGTGACTACCCTCATGCTGTTCTTGTGATAGTAAATTCTCATGAGATCTGATGGTTTTCTAAGGGGCTTTCCCCACCTTCTCTCATTATTTTCTCTCTTGTCACCTTGTGAACAAGGACATGTTTTCTTCCTTTTCTGTCACGATTGTAAGTTTCCTGAGGCCTCCCTAGCCCTGTGGAACTGTGAGTCAATTAAACCTCTTTCCTTTATAAATTACAAGTCTTTGGTATGTCCTTAGAGCAGCATGTGAATGGACTAATACATATTTTAAATAAGTAATATAACAGTTGAAAATAAGATTTTATTAAAATGTTATGTATAACAGTTTTACATTATTAAGAAAAAACTGGAGAAAACATAGCTGAAGGCTAAATTATATACAGCCTAGAGTATAATACAGATTTGATAAAATATTATGAATGTATTCATAATAGGTAGAAAAAGTATGAAACTATATTTTTATAAATTAGTAATACAAAAATTGAAAATGATATTTTATAAAAATGTCATTTCTATAACATAACAAAATTATCAAAAAGGGATAAAACTAAAGAAGTCTATATAATAGTTTTATACTGAAAACTATGATAACTCCCAAGAGACATTAAAGAATATATAAATTAAGCATAACATGTTTATGCATTGGAAGACTCATATATGGTAACTATATCAACTTTCTTAAAACCATTTGATAAATTTAATGTTAACCCATTTAAAATTCCAGAGGTTGTATGTATATGTTGGGGAGGACATGATTATTGATACAAGGATTCTAAAATTTATATTGAGGATCAAGAATAGCAAAGGCAATATTGATAAAGAGTAAAACTAGAGGACCTACATACTATGTAACAAGACATTCAGATCTATAGTTATGAAGACAATGTGATATTGGTATAAGCATTAAAAATTATAATTTTGGAATAGAGAAGAGAACTCAGAAACAGATTCACAGTCACCTGTTTTTATTTTATTTTTAATATACATAACACTGTAGTGCGCTGGATGAAGGATAGTCTTGCATATTCATGCTGTTGGGTCAATTGACTATCCATATGAAAAAAATAAATACATTTAGACCCTTATTTTATGCCAAACAGTAAATCAGTTCCACTTGGATTTAAGATCTAAATACAAAACATAAAACTACAAAGCTTTTAGAATAAATTATAGGACAATAGTTTCATGAACTTGGGATGGGCAGAATTCCAAAACAGGGCATAAAAAGCAGTAGCAACTGAAGAATAAGGAAGAATAAAATAGACTGCATCAAAATTAAGAACTTCTGCTAATAAAAAGATAAAATGGATAAAATTGTGTTATTGCTTCAAATTCTTTATTCATCATATGACTTTTCACTTCTCATTAATGCCAAAATATATTTTTTGGTCCCACTGATGCTGAGATTGGACTCTGACTTTCTTTGGCTTATTGAGTGTTGTCAGAACTGATAGCATGTGGATTTGGATTCTAGGATTAAGGCATATCACATGTTTCTCTTACTCTATTACATTTCTATTTGTGTCATAAGAACATGACTCAGCTGTCCCACTGGTACAGAAAACTTATAGACACGTACAGTGCACCTGATGCCAATGTGCATCTTGGGAGCAAGCCCAGTAAAACACTGCTTAGACTCTTGAACTTCCAGTTGACTCACAGACATATAAGTAAAAATAAGTCATTATTGTTATAAGTGACTGATATTTGGGGTGGTTCATTATGCAATATAGTTACATCAATATTTAGCTGATACAGAATGATGTACCTAGAAGTATAATATAGCTGTAAAAAAATGACAGTTAACTTTGGGTTCAGGAGAAAGGTTTTAAGGAAACTACTGCATGAGTCTGGGAAAATGGTAAGGAAACTGACAGGAAGTAAGACAAAATGGAAATCCATGTTATATAAAGGAAAAACCATTTGTAGCTCTTGTCTGTGATAACTTAGAAACTTAGTTCACCTAAAGGATGTTTGGCCTTTTGTAAAGAGGAGTCTCCACAGAAAGTAAAAAAAAAAGAAAGAAAAAAAATGAGCTACATTTTGCCAGCTATGACAAAGTGCTCCGAGAAAGAGGTGAGCTCAGAGAACAATTGGTTGCTTATAAATAGAATTGGGAGGATCCATAGAGAGTCAAAACTTTCTGGAAGTTGCTCAGGTGAAAAATAACTTTTTTTGTTTGGTCGTCTTCCGTCTCCACAGACAACAAAACTCTGTGAAATTAACATTTATCCTAGATGGAAAATATAAGGCATGCTTCTTAGGATACAGCATGGAAACATAAACCAGGACAAGGCCATAGCCCTCACATTCTTTATTAAGACCTCTCAGAGAATCAAGGGAGCCACCAGTAGATCGCTTTTGCTAAAAAGATAAAGAGAAGCCTGAAATGCCTAACATACCCATAAACAAGTCTCAACTGAAGACTTGTTTCTTAATTGTGAATGTGTTTTTGTTGTGTAAAGTTGCAAACAAAACCCCCCAACATTGAAAAGAATTATATCAGCAAAAGCATCCCTAGTTTGGACTGTGAAGACTAAAACTATTCAGGTTTAACATCTTTTGACTCCTACATTTCTGTAGCCATGTAACAGCCTGAGAAACCATATCAATCTCCAACAATAAAATATTTTATAATGCTTCTTTGCAAATGAACAACAAAAATAGTGGGGGTGGGTAAAGTATCTCCCAGAGGTTGATCCAAGAGTTATAGAGACAAATGGACTTGGGAGCCACCTCAGTGAGCAGATTCAGAGTCAAGGAACGTTTCATAGCCAAAGAACAGCCAGACTCAATATTTGTTCACTGAGATTCCAGAATTTATAAAAAACAGTGATTGTTATAAATCTCCTATTTATCTATCTTTTTTTTTTTTTGAGATGAAGTGTCACTCTGTTGCCCAAGTGGGAGTGTAGCAGTGTGATCTCGGCTCATTGCAACCTCCACCTCTTGGGTTCAAGTGATTCTCCTGCCTCAGCCTCCCGAGTAGCTGGGACTACAGGCACGCACCACCATGCCTGGCTAATTTTTGTGTTTTTTGTAGAGACAGGGTTTCACTATGTTGGCCAGCTCGTCTTGAACTCCTGATTTCATGATCCACCCACCTCGGCCTCCCAAAGGATAGGGATTATAGGCATGAGCCACCTTGCCCAGCCTCATCTCTCTTTTAAATGTAATTGTTTATTGTGATCATTTTGTCCCTGTGTTAGGTATATAAGAGTAGACTTTTTTTCCCCAAAAGATTCAGGGGGAGAAAAATACTGACCTGTTATAAGGCATAGAATTCTAGCCTTTGCGCTTAATAAAAGGATTAGACAGGAATTTAGAATGTCTTGGGGTGTAAAGGCATTCTGTGTATGGAAGGAATATAAATAAGTGTTATCAAGAGAGGAAACTATGCTATAGTGCATTGTTATTCCCAATGTTTCTCTGTATTCACATTTGTTACATGATTTTGCAGCTCTTTCCACTAAAGATGTGGCACTTACTGATTTTGGGGCTTGACTATGTGATTTGATTTGTACAATGAAATATGAACAAAAGTGATAGTATGACCACTCTCAACCACACCCTGAAGAGACAATGTATGGTTCCACTCATCCCTTTTGCATTTCTTCCAATGCCATAAGAAGTAAAGGCCCTAGATAGCCCACTGATTCCATAAGGATGAGAAATATGTACAACAGACCTGTATTCAACCAACCTTCAGCACGGGAAACTCAAAACAGCTATTGTGAATGTAAATTGATTGAATCACTTTTAAGTGGCAATATCCACTAAAACTCACCTTATGTATACCTAGCATTTCTATTTCCTGGTCTAGACTCCAAAGAAATATGTATGTGTGTATGTATTTATATGTGTATTTACATATACACAAATGCATGCAGGGTCATTGATGAATTTCATAATAATAATGCTGAGCAAAAAAAGGCAGACAAGGCCAGGTGCGGTGGCTCACGCCTGTAATCCCAGCACTTTGGGAGGCCGAGGAGGGTGGATCACGAGGTCAGGAGATCGAGACCATCCTGGCTAACACGGTGAAACCCCGTCTCTACTAAATATACAAAAAATTAGCCGGGCATAGTGGGGGGCGCCCATATTCCCAGCTACTTGGGAGGCTGAGGCAAGAGAATGGCATGAACCCAGGGGGTGGAGCTCGCAGTGAGCCGAGATCACGCTACTGCACTCCAGCCTGGGCAACAGAGCGAGACTCCGCCTAAAAAAAAAAAAAAAAAAAAAAAAAAGAAGGCAGACACAGGGCAATTAGTAGTATTTTATTCCAAAAAACTCAAAAGAGACAAAATTAAGCCAAGCTAATAAGAATCATTGTAGTGGTTACTCCTGAGGAGGAGTAACAATCAGAAGAAATAAGGAACTGTTGGTTTGGTGCTACTGGACTCTTCCTTGATACGATTCCTGATTTCTGTGTGTGCTGAATTTGTGAAACTTTACAAAGCTGTAGGTTCATGATTTATATATTTTATGTATGTATACTATTAATAGGCAAAATGCACATTAAAAGTATTGTGGGAAAATTAATAGTGGAGGACATTTTATTACTCTTTTATATGCTACCTCCCCTTTTTTTGCAACAAGATATATTACCTTATAATTAAAAAAATTAGTAAGACTAATACATTTTTAGTCTTTTAGGTAAAGCAAAGAAACTGATTCAAACACACATAGATTACATTATTTTGAGCTTTGCAAATAATAAGATATATGTCTAATGTGGAAGTGATGAACAATGAAAGCAAAAGATAACTTTTCAGAAAGAGGGGCTATGTCAGGAAAGACAGAAGGATTGCAAAATATGCATTGCATTAAATTTGAAGTGGTTTGTTATGGCTAGTAGCTCTGGTGATGCACAGGCTAGGACATACCAGGCACCTAGAAAAATTTATGAATAAGTTGATTAATAATAGGCAGGAGATACACATTAAAAAATCACTTAACTCAATTTAGACATTTTATTTTCTCAATCAGACGATGGGGTTTCCCTGCAGCTTTTAAACCTGATTACAACTTTGCTTCAGAAATCTACCTATTCCTGCCTGTGGGAAGAACTGTAGAATAGAGAGATCAGAGTCACACAAACCAGTTAGAAATATTGTTGTAAATTTCCCAGGCAAGAAATGATCAAAGACTAAATTTGGATTACAGGAGATAACATTTTATAATAATTCTTTTAGTAATACTCCTAAAACTATGGTATGTAATCATCTGGCTATCTCCACCTCTTTTTCACAGGAGTAAACTTTGCTAATAATTCATTAAAAAATAAAAACAAAAAATAAAGTTCCTCATTACTTATACAAAGTCAATATGGTGTTTTGCAGTGACCAGGTAGACTCAAAGCATTCCTATGGAGACATAAACAATCCTCTTCAATTTCCGCCATTCCGTGTCAGTAGAATTCACTCTATCATGGAATGCATGTCCTACCACTGTGAATGCAGGCCAGAAGAGCCTGTGGATATGATCCACACCAACAAATCCTAGTCCTATTCTGCTTATAGAGTATCCCTTTGAAACACTTCATTCTTATATACTTTCTTTAATACTTTTTGTTTTGTTTTGTTTTTGGAGACAGGGTCTCACTCTGTTGCCCAGATGAGTGCAGTGGTGCAATCATGGTTCACTGTAGCCTGGGCTAAAGAGATCCACCCGCCTCAGCCCCCTAAGTAGCTGAGACTACAGGTGCACGCCACCATGCCTGGCTAATTTTTTTTATTTCTTGTAGAGATGGGGTTTCACCATTTTGCCCAGGCTGGTCTCCAACTCCTGAGCACAGGCAATTTGCCCACCTCAGCCTTCCAAGAGTGCCTGGAGGAAACACTTGATTATTTAAAAAGGAAAGAAGACTATAACATATTCCCTCAGAGAATACAGCTTAAAGTCTTCCCTGTATTTCACTTATATCCTTTCTATAGTACATGAACATTTATGAAAAAATTAATATCACCTCTTTACCTCTCTTATGGTGTAAGGCAGGTTGATAAATTCATTTGAGTGTATAGAAGAGTTAGCTTTTTCTTTTTGTCTACCAGCATAAACATTGTTTTTAACCTCTACTTTCTTGGAATTTGACATGACAATGTTCATAGAAAATAAAAATAAAAGATGTGTTTAAAAATACTCATAAATATATGTAAACAAATATCACTCAGTTATATGGGGCAGGTGAGCTATATATTTAGTTGGTTTAATATTTAGCTAATTAGAAATGCTGTTATTAAAACCTACAGCTGGTGGAATAGACATAATTGCTGGGGATCTGCCAAGGAGTTTTCAGGCCACTGATGAGCTGCATAAGCATTAGAGTTCAAATATGCTTTCTGAAATTTGAAGTACTTTTCCATTGTCCAAAAACAGATCAAAGTAATTGTTAGGATGGTGACATATGTCAGAAATTTTCAAGATATTCAATGCATAATGAATACGTATTGAATGCCCAAAAGCATAGTGAGACCAGGAAAGAGTGTTTTATAGGAAAATACTGAGGGCCGAAATGGAATATGACATGCTTACTTTCTGACTTTGTAGTTGATACTGTGGTTGCAAGGGTATTTCATGGTAATGCATCCTAGAAAAGATGAAAGGCATATACAAGGACTTATCAACCACCAGTTTATTCAAGTAGATACATGAGCTTTTAAAGACTGTGAAAGAAAGAAAGAAATCCAGAAACAAGACACATAACACGAATATTCCAAAGGGTCAGATGAGATAAAACAAATTTTTGTCAGTTATTTGAGTAGTGAAGAGTGTGACAAGTGAATATGAAGATTGTGAAAGAAGAAAGGGATATCTACCTCATTAGATTTGTATGTTAGGTCTACAGCATTTTCCTTCTAGAAGTAAACCACAAAGTTAGGTATAGGAGCCACCGGCAATCATTACTCAGTTGCTTAAAATGCATGTTTCCAGAGTTTGCTCAAAAGTAGATACTCTGGAGTTCCACTGAGAGCTGATGTTATTAACAACGTTCTATATGATTTATTTTACATATTTTATGTTAGCTTGGTAAGAACTACCAATCTCATGTTAAGACATGAGACCTACTCCCTTATATTTTTAATTGTATGATACATTATTATTAACTATAGATGCAATGTTGTACAGCAGATCTCTGGAGCTTATTCATCTTGTTTTACTGAAACTTCATTCCTGCTGATGAACAACTCCTCCTTTCCTGCTCCTCCCAGCCCATGGTAACCACCATTTCACTCTTCGATTCTATGAATTTGACTATTTAGAGATTTCATATAAGTGGAATAACGTAGTGTTTCTCTTTCTGTGACTGGTTTGCTTCATTGAGCATAATGTCCTCAAGGTTCATCTATGGTGTAATGCCTTGTAGAATTTCCTTCTTTTTTAAGGCTAAATACTATTTTATTGGATGTATATACTATATTCATCTTTGAAAGGCCATTTAGAGTATTTCCACATCTTGGCTATTGTAAATAGTGCTACAATTAACATACAAGTGCTAAAATCTGTTTGAGATCTTGATATTATTTTGGATAAAATGCCTAGCAGTTGTATTGCTAGATCATATGATAGCTGTATTTTTTACTTTTTGAGAAACCTCTATACCCTCACTATCTACCTAAGTAATTTCTTCTTAACTCCTATATCAGTACTTCTTATAGGTCTGTTCACATTATATTTCTGCATTATTTAGGCTTAGAAGTTTCTAGAAATGTATACATTTATTCCAGGTTATTCAGTTTTTTGACATATAATTGTTCATGGTACTGTCTTGTAGTCCTTTTTATTTATGTGACATCAGTCATAATGTCTCTTCTTTCATTTTAGATGTTATTTATTTGTGTCTTCTACCGTTTTTTCTTAGTCTAGCTAAGGCTTTGTACGTTTTGTTTATCTTTTCAAAACTCAACTTTTGGTTTCATTGATCTTTTTCTATTATTTTTATATTCTCTATTTTATTTATTTCTGGTCTAATTTTTGTTGTTTACTTCTTTCTGTTAACTATGGGCTACTTTGTTCTTCTTTTTCTATTTCCATGAGATGGAAATTTAGGTTGTCTATTTGAGATATTTTTAACATGAGTATTTTTACAATCTCCCCATTTATTACTCCTTTAAATGCAGCCCATAATTTTTTATGCATGTTTTTATTTTCATTTGTTTCAAAATAATATTTATTTTTTTAAAAAATTGGGTTTTTTGATGCTTGAATGGTTGTTCAAGATTGTTGTTTAATTTCCATTTATGTTTGAATTTTCCAGTTTTTCTTATGGTATTTATTCCTTCTAATTTTATTCCATTGTGGTAAGAAAATATATTTGGTATGATTTCAGTCTTCTTAAAGTTTTAAACCCTTGTTTTGTGACTTAACATGTGATCTATCCTTGAGAAAGGTGCACGTGCACTTGAGAAGAATGTGTCTTTTGCTGCTGTTGGTTAGAATGTTTTGTGTATGTCTGTTAGATCAATTTGATCTATAGTATTATTCAAGTCCTCTGTTTCCTTATTTGTCTTCTGTCTGAATGTTCTGTCCATCATTGAAAGTGGGGGATTGAGTCTTTTACTATTACTGTATTGCTGTCCATTTCTCCATTCAGATCAGTAAATGTTTGCTTTATGTATCTAGGAGATCTGTAAGGGAGTGCACATATACTTATTATACCTTCCTGATAGATTAACCCATTTATCAATGTTTAATGTTCTTCTTTGTCATCCGTGACAAGTCTTGACTTAAAATCTGTTTTGTTGGATATAGGTATAACCACTCATGGTCCCTTTTGGTTACCAAAAGGTAAACAAAATGTTACCCATAGGTAACAATATGTTACCAAAAGGTAACATATTGAAGACATTCAATATGTCTTTTCCCATCCCTTCACATTCAGTCTATGTGTGTCCTTAAATCTAAAGTGAATTTCTTGTAGACAGCATATTGTTAGGTCATAGTTTTTTAATCCATTCACCCCCCTATGTAATTGCATTGGGAAATTCAATTGGTTTATGTTTACAATAATTATTGACAGGGAAGGATTTATTATTTACATATTGTTAGTTGTTTTCTATTAGTGTTATTTTTTTCTTTGAAATTTCTTTCACCTTACTTTTCTCTAACTTCTTTAGCTTTTCTTCTTTCTTACCTTTAGGGCTTACATAAAAATATTTTATAACAGTATGCTCTAAGCATATAACAAGTTACATCACTTGCAAAAACTTTTTACACTTTAACTTTCCCTCTCACATGCATTTTATGTTAATGTCACAACTTACATATATTAATATTGCATATCTTTTAATATTTCTTTAGTTATAATTACTTTTAATGCTGGAATGGAAAGTTATTTACCCACTATTATGGTAATACAGTATTCTGTATTTGTTTATATATTTTCCTTTACCAATGAGTTTCATACTTTCTTAAGCTGTGAGATTGCTGGTCAGCATTCTTTCATTTTAACCTAATCCCTTCAGCACTTCTTGTAAAGCAGGTTCCTTGGTAATGAACTCCCTTAGCATTTGTTTGTCTGAGAAAAAGCTTCTCTCTCCTTTGTTAAATATATATATATATGTGTGTAATCCAGGTATAGTATTTTTAGTTAATAGTTTTTTTTTTCTTTCAGCACTTTAAATATATCACCTCATACCTTTCTTGCCTGAAATAAAAATTTCTGGTGAAAAATCTGCTGATAGCTTTATGGCAAGAAGAAGGGAGCATGGAAGTGTCCCTTATATCTGAACAGTCACTTTTTTCTTGCTGCTTTCAAAATTTTCTGTTTGTCACTGACTTTTGACATTTTGATTATAATGTGTCTCAGTGTAGATTTATTTTATTTGATGTCCTTTGGGTTTTTGGATCTGAACATCTATTTTCTTCCTCAAATTTGGGAAGTCTTCAGCCATTATTTATTTATTTATTTATTTGTTCATTTATTTATTTATTTTTCTTGAGATAGAGTCTTGCTCTGTCACCCAAGCTTCAGTGCAGTGGTGAGATCTGGGCTCACTGCAAACTCTGCCTCCTAGGCTCAGATGATTCTCCTGCTTCAACCTCCCAAGTAGCTGGGATTACAGGCAACCGCCGCCACACCCAGCTAGTTTTCATATTTTTAGTAGAGACAGGGTTTTACCATGTTGGCCAGGCTGGTCTTGAACTTGTGCCCTCAGGTGATCCGCCCACCTCAGTCTCCCAAAGTGCTGGGATTACAGGCGTGAGCCACCACTCCCGGCCTCAACCACTATTTCTCTGAATATGCTTTTGAGTTTTTTCTCTCTTCTCCTTCTGGGCCTTTCATAATACATATAATGGTCTGCTTGATGATGTCTCATAATTTTATTGAGATTTCTTTACTCTTATTCATTCTTTTTTCCTTATTCTCCTCTGGCTAAATTATTTCCAGTGATCTGTTTTTGAGTTCATTAATTCTTTCTTATGTATGATGTAGTCTGCTGAACTCCTCTACTAATTTTTCTTAGTTGAACTATTTTGTTCTTCATCTTCATAGTTTCGTTTTGGTACTTCTTAATATTTTCTGTGTATTTCTTGAAACTGTCACTTTGTCCATTCATTGTTCTCTTGACATCCTTATGACAATTATTTCTGTGAACATTCTTATGATAATTATTTCTGATTTTCTATTAGGTAAACTATACAATTCCATTTTAATAGAGTAAATTTCTGAAAATTTTTTGATTTCTTTATTTGGAAAATATTTGGCTCATTATTCTTCTTTCTTTTTTCTTTCTCTTTTTTGAGTCCCTGTGTTGGTGTCTGTACATTAGACAAAGCAAAACCTCCCCTAATCATGACAGACTGGACTTATACAGCAGAAGATCACCACCCTCAGCCTGAACAGATGTTCTGACATTCTTTACTATCTCTTTTCCTCCTCAGGGAGCTGAAGGCAGCTGTGGTTTTCGTTAATTCGCTCTGTGCTGAGCCAGGGTGGGAGTCATATAGCATCTACGTTCAAGTCATTGTCTTCATTCTCTCCTGGGCAGATGGTGCTAGATCTATGTGACTTTTAAGACTGGTGAGACACATGTTAATTTTGGGAGAAGCCCTAGGGAAAGTGGTGTGCTAGACTCATGGATCAACTTTTTCCATCCCCAGGAGGAAGTTCAGATCTGGGATTTTTTTATCCTTTTGCTCTGTGCTGAGCAAGGTAGAGAAAGCAATGACATTTGCCAGTCCAAACTGCTGCCTCCATTCTACCCTGAATAGCTAGACTGTGCTAGATCATCAGAATTTCAAGGCTGAAAGGACAAAAGCCAGTCCTCTAAGGAACCTCCTCAGAGAGATGGACTTGCAAATCAACCCATTCCCTTTTCTGGGTAAAGGTAGGAGCTAGGGAGTCTCTTTCTGATCATATGGCACTGCACCAGTGTCAAGGTCTCTGGTGAAAAGTTGTCCTCAATCTTCCTATTGGCTTCAATGAGTCTGCTTTTGCACCCCCCAGGAAGCAGGAGACTTTCAATTAGTTGCTGATTACTCCAAAGCTAATCTGTCCATGAATTGTTGTAAAATCATTGTGTTTGTTGAGGAAATGAAGGTCCAGTACTTCCCATTCCACTATGCTGTTGACGTGTCTCTGCTATCTCATGTTTTTGAACAAAAAACTTTAATAACCTCTATCGTAGATAGTCGTCAAAGTCAATCAAAGAAACGTCTTGGCAGGGTGTTCTGGATCACATCTGCAATCCTAGCACTTTGGGAGGCCAAGGAAAGAGTATGCTTGAGGCCAGGAGTCCAATACCAGCCTGGGCAACATAGTGAGACCTCATCTGTACAAAAATAAAAAATAATAAAAAATGAGAAAAGTCCTATGGGACTTTCGTCCTTGACACATTCTGTTTAAAATATTCTGTAATAAATTAAAAACTACATAAACAATATTTCAAATGATACTACCCTTTGATGAAGAAGACCAAATCAAGACTTCAAATTTTTGAACAACCTATCCAAGATAGCAAATGCAGTATAAATGCTTATAAACATCATGCATTTTCACTTTATAACTATTTGAAAACTTCAAAATAAGGAAGAGACTATTGGCTGAGGTAATAGTTATCTATATTAAGACTTCCTTTTTGTAGTGATGGTCCTGCATTCAACATATCTTGTGATGAGGATTATGAAAATCAATAGGTAGAACTTGGGTGAACTTATTGGCCTCATGAAATTAATGTGCCTCTTGATAGCACAGCAATGTGATATCCCCAGCTTGTCACAAAGCAGAAAAGTTTTATCCAGGACTTATTAGAGCCATAGAAATCTCTTTTACGTGCAACATTTAAAAATCACCTCCAAATTTCAGCCCCAATTAAAGTCACCGATTGTGTGTGTGTGTGTGTGTGTGTGTGTGCGTGTGCTGGTGGAGTGGAGGGGTAAGGAAGGGGAACCTGTAAATTATGAGTACAAAACTAGAATTTGCTTGTAATTCTAAGATGTTGGTTCTCAGATTTTTTTTCTATTCTCCTTCAAGCTGCATTATTTTTTAATTTCAACATCTGCTTATATGTCTTGTGGGATTTGGTACAGCTGTTAAGGTTTGGATCCTTGCTCATATCCTACATCGATAGACTAGATGAACAGCAAAATTATGTAGACAGCGACTCTGGGAAAGTCAAAGTCTTTGTAAGGCAAAACTGGAGTTCGAGTCACAGATCTGCTCCTTAGACGAGGAATGACAAAGGGGTGGAACACTACTTTGACTGCGCATTTCTGCTTCTGAGGAAAATCCAAAAGTAAACCATCCAATTTGAATAGATTAGTCTCCTTTTAAAACTTCTTTAAAACTTAAGTTTATCCTGTGAAATGGTTGCAAAATCAAGAAGCCTGATAGTTTTCTCTTTGGAGAAATTGAATCGCAGGAACTCTAGTGATTAGGACACAGGTATGGGGGTGCAGTAGGAAGAATCTATATCAAAAGCAGATATTAAAATTCTATTTATGTAATTGGAAGATCACCAAGCTCCTTCTTCTATTCAACTCATATTTCAGAAGAATGGCACCTAAAGTGATCATTTCTGAGGTCTGAGTGTCAGGATTTTATTTAGAAAAAATAATCATCCCACGAAAAAAGGCTCAAAATTAGATACGCAACAAGTAATCATACCCTGAAGCCAAACCCCTCAACTTCTATTTATTTATATTATTTGTATAAATGTAAAGTGTATAAGTGCAGTTTTGTTACTTAGCTATACCGCATAGTGAAGTTTGGGCTTTTAGGGTAACCTTTACTCGAATAAGGTACATATACCTATGAAGTAATTTATCATCCCTCTCTCCTTTCCCATCCTCCTACTTTTCTAAGTCTCCAGTGTTCATTATTACACACTCTATGTCCATGTGTAAACATTATTTAGCATCCACTTATAAGTTATAACGTGGTATTTGACTTTGTGTTTTTGAGCTGTTTCACTTAAAATAATGGCCTTCAGCTCACTTCATGTTGCTACAAAAGACATCATTTCATTTTTTATGGCCGAATCATATACTACTGTGTGTGTGTACACACACACACACACACACACACACACACACATTATGCCATATGTTTTTCATAGAGATTATACTAATTTACATGCCAACCAGTAGGGTATTCGTATTCCCTTTCCTCTGCATCCTGGCCACCATCTTTTGATTTTTTTTTTACTTTTTAATAACAGCCATTCTTACTTGCGTAAGATGGTATCCCATTGTGGTTTTAATTTACATTTATCTGAATGATTAGTGATGATGAGTATTTTTTCATATGTTTGTTCACTATTTATATGTCTTCTTTTAAAACATGTCTATTCATGTCCTTTGCCCACTTTTTAAAGGGGTTATTTGTTTTTGTTGTTGCTGTTGTTTGAGTTTCTTATAAATTCTGGATATCAGTTCCCTGTCAGATGTATAGTTTGCAAATATTTTTCCCATTCTGTCAGTTATCTGTTCATTCTGATTATTTATTTTGCTGTGCAGAAATTTTTAGTTTAATTAAGTCCCACTTGTTTATTTTTGTTTTTCTTGCTTGTGGTTTTGAAGCCTTAGTCATGAACTATTTGCCTAAACCAATGTCCTGAAAAGTTTTCCCTAGGTTTTCTTCTAGTACTTTTATAGTTTCAGGTCTTATATTTAAGTCTTTGATCCATCTTGAGTTGATTTTTGTATATGGTGAGAGATAGTGGTCCAGTTCCATTCTTTTGTATATGGCAATCCAATTTTCCCAGCACCATCTATTGAAAAAAGTGTCCTTTCCCTTGTGTATGTTTTGTCAACTTTGTCATAGATCAGTTGGTTGTAAATATGTGGCTTTATTTCTTGGCCTTCTATACTGTTCTGTTGATCTATGTGTCTATATTTATACCAGTACCATGCTCTTTGGGTTAGTATAGCATTGTAGTATAATCTGGGGTTAGGTAATGTGATGTCACCCACTTTGTTCTTTTTGCTTAGGATTTTGTTGGCTATTTGGGCTCTTTTTTGTTCCATTTGAAATTTAGAATTGTTTATTATAATTGTATAAAAATAATTTTAATATTTTGATAAAGATTGCATTGAATCTGAAGATTGCTTTGAGCAGTGTGAATATTGTAATAATATTGATTATTCTGACCCATGAGTGTGAAGTGATTTTCCACTTGTTTGTGTCATTTATAATTTGTTTTATACATTTAAAGTATAAATAGCATTTTAAAAACAGTCAGTGACAGATCATCTGACATTTGAGGAGAAACATCTACCATCAAAACAAAGACCTAAACAAACAGAATAAAAACAATTAGAGGAAACAAAAATTATGAAGCTGGAGAGGGGAACAAATTCAGAAAAATTATTTGTACATCTCAGAAATATGAGATGTCATTGCTCCCATATAAACCAGAATAGGACACAATATACCTCTGTACAGCATTCAGAGAATACAAATAAGCCACTGAAAATCTAACATTTTAAAGTTTGCCTTTAAAAAATATTTTGTAGAGGTATTGAAAAGACATATCCCAATAAGTAAACAAAGAATAAGTAGATGAAAATAAAATATTTAAGAATGCGAAATTTAGATGATTAGTCTATTATCTTAATAATAAACTTTTCAGAAGGAAAAAGCAGGTTTTAGCTGTCTCTTGTTTTCTAGGACAGTCATACTTTCCATGTTAAAAGAAAGTATGTTACTTTTTTTTTTTACATGTTTTGTTTGTCCTTGTTGGCTTTTTTCGTGCAACTCAAGGCCTGTTATGTACAGCTTCATCATGAAATATGAGAATGCAGCTGATAAAAAGTATATTCTAAAAGCTTCTAGGAAAAAAATGTGACAAGCAAAATAATTAAAATCAGAATAGCACCGTACTTTTGGAGAGCAACATTGAAAACCATAAAACAATGGTGTTATTGAAATTCTGAAGAAAAATATTTCCAGCCTAGAACTCTATTCAACAATATCCCATTAAAGTATCAAAGTAGAATAAAAATACAGGTCCTTTAAAAATTGCCTCACTTGCTTTCTTTCTCAGGAAGCATCTTGAATTTTGAGAGTAAATCAAGAAAGAAGAAGACACTGATTCAAGAAGAGGCCACCTAACATAACAGGTGAATCCCAGGACCATGAGGAATGGGCCCCAGGAAGACAGTTCAATAGTGCTAGGGAGCACCTATTCCACTTTCAAGCAGGACAGTGGTAGGTTCAAAATGTTAGGACTCCAGGGAAAAATATAAAACTTTTATATTACTGCTGTCAGTGGTGTGCTGAAGCCAGTTGCTATGGACTGAATTTTTGTCCCAACAAAACTCACATGTTGAAACTCTAATCCCCAATGTAACCATATTTGGATATAAGGGATATAAACAGACAATTAACATTAGATTAGGTCATAAGGGTGGGGCCTGATCTGATAGGATTAGTGTCCTTATCAAAGGAGAAATGAGACCGATTGCTCTTTCTTTCCCCACATTCAGAGGAAAAGCCGTGAGAGGATGCAATGAGACGCCAGCCCATCTGAGAGCTAAGAAGAGAGCCCTCACTAGAAATTAAACCCTGCCAGACTTTGACCTGAGACTTTTTAAAACTTCAGAATTGTCAGAAATAAATTTCTGTTGTTTAAGCCACTCAATCTACAGTATTTTGTTATGGAAACCTGAGCAACGTAAGATACTAGTTCATACTGATTCTTGAGAGTCAATGGTTAAATATTTAAGGCTTTTGCCATCCCCTTTTAAAATACTAATAACTTGAAATTTGCCATGGCAAGAGTATCTACACTATGTAAATTAACAAGCATTACAATCACTGCTACTCCCTTGCCCTCAAAGAGCCAGATTATAAGCATATCACTATTTTGTGATTATATTTACTTTTCTGTCTGACAGTTTGTAGATGAATTAGTTATATATGAAATAAAAGCAAGCAAAGTAAAAATAAGGAAGCTCTGAACTCCTAAAAAACCCAAAATATTGCATAAGAAAGATATATATTCCTATAATAATATTCATCCTGCTATGAATAATATTTGCATGATTATAAGAAGTTAAAACTGAAACACTGATTTAAGTAAAATAATGATTTATATGCAGTGGAGACAGAATGAATGTTATCTATGTAAATGTATCTCTGAAGGGTCTATATAAGAAAGTATAATACTGTAGTTATCACTCTCATTTTATGATTAATATGTATACAGAAAGAAACAGGATTATTATTGTGACAACATGGAAAATCACATAAGCTACAAAATTATTACTTTTTTTGAACCTATTAATGAGCTGAGGATGCAGGACAATTAGCTCAAACTTTTTTTTTTTTTCCTTTGAGATGGAGTCTCGTTCTGTCGCTCAGGCTGGAGTGCAGTGGTGAGATCTTGGGTCACTGCAACCTCCAGCTCCCAGGTTCAAGCAATTCTCTGCCTAAGCCTCCTGAATAGCTGGGATTACAGGTGCCCACCACCACGACTGGCTAATTTTTGTATTTTTTAGTAGAGACGGGGTTTCACCACCTTGGCCAGGCTGGTCTTGAACTCCTGACCTCGTGATCCAACTGCCTCAGACTCCCAAAGTGCTGGGATTACAAGTGTGAGCCACCGCACCCAGCCAGCTCAAACTTTAAGAACAGATAGGGACCTCAAAGGTGAGACAAAATATGAGTGCTGGCTTTCTGTGCCAGAGCTCTGTGAATGATACAAGCTGTTTTTTTGTTGTTGTTGTTTTTTGTTTTTTAAATTGGAATAACAGAAGGAGAAGAGACAGATAATTGGAAAGATAAAATATCCAAAAAGCGATCAAGAATTTTCTAAAAATAATGAACTAAGTCAAACTGCAAATCTGAAAAACTCAGAGAACCTAAAGCAATGTAACTATCACATACATACACACACGCACACGCACATGTGCACACATACACAAGCACAGTCCTAAACACTTCATAGGCAAACTGGGTACAGTGAAAGATAAATAGAAAAATCATGAAAGAAGCTA